>NC_000016.10:61229166-61532197 GCF_000001405.40 Homo sapiens | reverse complement strand
GTGACTCTGGGGAGGAATGGAGGCAAAGAAAATAACAAAGGTCCCATAAATCATCAAAAACAGAATGCAATGCTAAAAGGAATTGTTATGCTCTGGACAACAGAATTGCATTTATGGAGGCAGGATTTGAACTTCTGTACTTTGCTGAAACATCAACTTCAAATCCCTAGTTCGTAGAGATTCTTCCTATTCTACTTGAACATTCTAAAACCATGTTAAGCCGCAAGGAAATGGGATTGCTGCTGAGGGACAGAGGTGCAGAGGGTCTACATATACAAAGAAATATAGCTGATTTGGCCAAGGTGGAAGATGGTGATGTGGGAAGGATTTAGTGAAATTTTGGACTTAAGTTATTTTCACAATGTCATGCAAGGTCAGCCTTTTGTTTCTTCAAGCCAAAGCATAACAGAAGCAGAAAATGGGGATGGAGAAGAAGGCAAAGAGTGAGAAGATTGCAGACCGAGGTTATTGGAATAATGCTGATAGCACATTACGTTGGAGGTTTCTTGCTGTTCTATACATAATACTTTTATTTATTTGTTATTCAATTCATTTGACAAACACTTATTGAGCATGCTAAAGATACTATGCTAAGCATTAAAGATACACATACCAGGAAATACCTTGAAAATCAGTAGGAGAAGCAAAAAAAGCCAGCAAGTATTACCACACTGATATATTATGAAAAGCAAGAGTAATAAAGGATTTAGAAATTGGAAAATAAGGGGGAGTTGAGGTGAATAAAAGCTTTTGCCCAAAAGTTGTTTTGCAGTTTTAAAAGAGAGAAAAAATCTGTGATATAGAAGTGGTGGAACCAGTAGTCAACCCAGGCCATTTGTTCCAGAATTTGTGTTCTCAGCCATTCTGCTGGGCTTCTTCTTCATCAGTGTCTGCCAGTTAGAGAATGGTGATAATAACAATAGCTAAAATGTATTGAAAACCAACACGTACACTCACTCTAAATTATCAAATTTAGTCCTTATACCATTTATGATGTAGGCACCATTTTTAATTTTACAAAAGAGAAAACAAATTGAGAAAGATTAAATAATTTGCCCAAGGGTCATGAAGCTGGAAGTCACAAATCTAGGTTCTGATTTCTTTTGGAAATCTGATTAACTTTTGGAATTATGAGGTTCTGATTAACTTTTGGAATTATGAGGTTTGTTTTTTTGTTTCTTTTTGAAATAGGGTCTCATTTGGTCACCCAGGCTGACACAGTGGCACAATCTGTCACAGCTCATTGCAGCCTCAACCTCCTGGACTCAAGTGATCATCCCACCTCAGGCCCTCAGGTAGCTGGGATTACAGTCACGTGACACCACGCCCAGCTAGGTTTTTTTTTTTTTTCTTTTCCTTTGGAGAGACAGGGTCTTGTCATGTTGCCCAAGTCTTGAAACTCCTGAGCTCAAGTGATCTGTCTGCTTCAACCTTCCAAAATGCTAGAATTACAGGCATAAGCCCCCCTGCACCTGACCAGTTAATTATGATTTTAATCACCAACTTATATTTTGCCACTGGCATGGCACATAAACTATTCTTCCCTCCTAATCTGTGCCTTCTTCCCACATATTAATTGTATGTTTAGTGAATATTTCAAATTTGAGCCAACACGTTTTATAGAAATTTTAATACAACTTGGCAGTATTTTATCCTATATATAGTCAATTAATCATGCTATTTTAATGAAAAGTACATTTTGTTCTGACTTTTTTTCCAATAAAGCATTCCATGAATGGAAAATTCACAAACTATTGACATATGTAGTATGATTCCTTTAGCTTTGAATTAGGACCACAAGAAGGCTGACACAGTCCATTGGAGAGGGGAGAGGAATAGGTAGGCTTTTATTGTGAATCCATAGTTAGAATATATGAATAAAGCAGTTTCACATACCCTACTCCACCCATCACTATTTCCCCAACATCCACCCCAGATGCTCCTGAACATCTCTCAATGAAGGTTCTCCTTGTACTCATGGTGCAACGTTCAGTTTCTTTCTTATCCACATACCTAAAAATGCTATAAGGGCAAGGGCTATATCTGATTTATTTGTAGCTGTATCTCCAACATTTACACAGAGTATGTTACTCCTAAAATATGTTTTAAAACTAACCACATCTCACCGCCTTCACATCATCATTTCTCATCAGATCTCTGTCTTTGTCCTTACCTTCCAATTATCTCTGTTCTGTAGAATCCAGAGTGAATTTTTTAAAGCATAAAACAAATTGTGCCACCCTCTTAAAAGCCTCTAGTGACTTCCATTTGCACTTGGCATAAATCCTGCTCTATAACTTGGCAGAGCATAGATCACCCCCCGTTCTCTTCAACTTTGTATCCTACATTGTTGCCTTTGTTTCACAATGGTCCAACCATGTTGACTCCTCAAATAGACCAAGCCCATCCTCATCACAGAACATTTGACCCCGATTATGGCCTTGCAATATTTTCTTTTTCCTTGAATAATCCACAGGACCTGGTCCCACTTATCATCCAGAACTGGGAGTAAATTTCATCTCATGAGAGAGGTCTTCTCTGACAACCTTTTATAAAGTTATTCCTCTCTATCCCTTTGTTCGTTTGCTCATTTGATCTTATTCATATCATACATATAATATTACCTAAGCAAATAAGATAATTTTTGATGAGTGGAATTTCATTTCACTAGAATATATGCTTTGAGAGCAGAAAATTTGACTATCTGCTAAGCACTGGGAATTCAAGGGTTAATAATGACTAGTAAATAGTAAATATTTCAGTCTTGGTAGAATTACTGAAGTATGAAGCTAAGTATATCCTAAAAGTATGCCCATGTGTAGATTTATCAATGAAGAGAACCAGATGAATAATTTGTAATGAACACTGGGTAATGTTGGCTTCATTTGCCTAATATGTCTTATTGGGTGGATAGGCATTACTACCTGTTTTCCCACTCAATGGGAATTACAATTGGTATTACTGGCTCTGTGTAGGCCTGTAATACCAATAAGGCTAATTACGTGTTTTTTTCTTAAAACTATAGATTTGGAGGGAGACACACAGTTGCAGAAAGCAATTAAAAATAACTCTTCGATGGTTTTGAGAGCAGCAGAAACTCATAGACTAAGATTCCTTCAGTTAGCCGGTGTCTTCTTTCAGATGGCCTACCTGTTCAATGCATGTCTTCTACTTGTAAAAGTTCATCAGGGTTGGTTTCTATGATGAACAACTAAAGTATGTATGTGGGAGGGATAGGGCACAAAGAGCTCAAAGTGAAGAAGAGGCATTGAAGTACCAGGAAAGTTGAGTTGGAGGAGCAGGTGGATTGTTGAAATTTAATCAGTGGTGTTCCAATGATTCTAGCAGATGTTTAGACAGTTTGAGTGTGATCTGTGCTTTTGTGGGCAATTCAGTTATATTCAAGAAGGAGTAAGGGCTAGAGAGTGGGAGCCATGTCAGTGGCCTATAGTCAGTGTGCCAGATGTACTATACATTATTTTTAAAAGCAGCAAGAAAAAAAAAAGATAATTAAAGAAAAAAGGAAATGTCTTTTTAAAGTTTCTTGTGACCTTATACCGTTTTGTGTCACTTTGACATTTTAAATTTTGCTTCTGAGCAAATTTCTCCCAAGGTATTCTATTTATATTTTAAACAGCCAAAGTATACAAATATCTCTATTTTGCATCTCTAATAATGTATGCTACACAATCCAACAAGATTCCTTGGGACACTTTTGAAATTTCTTCTGTTTTCTTTCATATGTGTATGCTTTCCAAAAGTCTCTCCATAATTTGGGTCAATTGATTATTGACACTGAGTATCTCTCTTTCTCAGATGGGGAATTGTTATAAACACAGCCCTGTTAGAACAAATGCAATTTCATCACACTGGATAATTACACTTTTGGATATAATTGCGCCCATTGGGATCTCAGGAAAACCTAAAGAAATATTAAAAGGCTGAGAATCACCTTTTATTAATTGAAAAGATGATTTTTGATAGACAAAATTTCTATAATAAAAAAAGTTTTCTTGTATTATATATCTATAAAACAATGATTTTCTTTCTCCCTTTGTTTTACCCCCTTATATTCTTATTCAGTGTTTAATCACTGCCTGGTGTTTTAAGCCCATTAGAGCTTTAATATTGGCAGGCAATTATAATTTATAGGTATGCATGTATGCATACACACACACAGACACACACACACCCACACACACACACACACACACATGCCTTTCTCTGTAATTGTAACAGGAGAGATTATTGACCTTCAACATCAATCATAACTAGCAAGTCTTCAGTATCCCTAAGTCCACCACAGGAAAGCTATGGTCATGAGGCTAAATAGTATTTTGGGGAAAAAAAAAGAGTAGTCGATAAGCCAATTCTCTCTCCACTGAGTTTACCTCCAAGTAAACTCAGAATCTTAAATTTTTATCTTATCTTATTCTTATTACTTATTAACATTAGTAATAGTAGGTATAATATATTTTTTAATAATAACTAGTATTTATTGGGGTCAGACAATGCCTTGCATTGAGGTGGGATGTTTGCTTGAACCCAGGAGGTTGAGGCTGCAATGTCTGCCTTGCATTGTCTGAGTGATTTACATGCAATAAGTTTTTTAATCCTCACAACTGTGTGCAACAGACATTACTGTTTTCCTCATTTTATAGATACAAAAACCGAAGCGAAGAAAAGAAAAGCAATTTGCAAAGGTTATGAAAGTACCGATGGTACTGATGCCCCAGGTGGTACTTAGAACAGAGGTAGTCTAACCTTAAAGCCTGCTTAATTACTACGTGTCACTGCCTTTATTAAATAAATAGCTAATTTATTATTATTATTTCAATAGTTTTGGGGGAACTGGTGGTGTCTGGTTACATAAATAAGTTATTTAATGGTGATTTCTGATAATTGGCCACAATGATGAGTGTATTATACTTACATGACTGACAAGCAGATGAAACCTGGGAAGCAAGTTAGTATACCCTACTTAATCATGCTGTTTCAAATCTCAAGCTGACTTTCTGCACACAGCAACTTCTAGTGGTTCTCACGAACAGAACAGTAATCCTGAATGTTATAAATAGGTTGTTTGGTCAAAATATTGACAACCTAATAGAAAAATATATATCCTACTGTTTCACTGGTTGCTAGCCAGTGAAATGAGACAGAAACCCCAAGGAATCACAGAGGGCTTCATATGACCTGCCACTTTGACTTATGTAACTGCATTACCCCTGCGAATGAAAGACCTCGCTTATTTTTAGTTTCTTATTTTTTCCCATCAACTTGGTCTATGAGGCAACTGTAAACAACAAATGTTGAGAGGACAAAAAAAAGTTGTTAAAAACTTTCTGGGTTTAAGTCTTCATCTGTGTTCTCTTAAAGAGACAGGGAACAGAATCCCTAATGCATCTTTACGCCATACTAGATCCTCACAATAGAGCAGTGCAGATTTCTGTAGATGGAAATAAAGTATATCAACTGCTGGGGAACAAAATTGAGATTGCTTAATGCGGTCGGAGTTTGGGAAGTGTCCTTTACACTATCCAGATTGATTAATGATTAATCGTCTACATTTACGTACATTACAAAAGTAGAATCTGTTGACTATTTTGCTTTGTGATCATAAAACATATATATTGAACATTATTTTGAGCCAGGTACTGGGTGAAATTCAAACCTGAAAAAAGTGATAGAAATTAATATTCATTCAGTTCTGCTCTGATCTTAGTTATTTCTTGCCTTCTGTTAGCTTTTGAATGTGTTTGCTTTTGCTTCTCTAGTTCTTTTACTTGTGATGATAGGGTGTCAATTTTAGATCTTTCCTGCTTTCTCTTGTGGGCATTTAGTGCTATAAATTTCCCTCTACACACTGCTTTGAATGTATCCCAGAGATTCTGGTATGTTGTGTCTTTGCTCTCGTTGGTTTCAAAGAACATCTTTATTTCTGCCTTCATTTCGTTATGTACCCAGTAGTCATTCAGGAGCAGGTTGTTCAGTTTCCATGTAGTTGAGTGGTTTTGAGTTTACAAGAAAAAAACAAACAACACCATCAAAAAGTGGGCAAAGGATATGAACAGACACTTCTCAAAAGAAGACATTTATGCAGCCAAAAGACGCATGAAAAAATGCTCATCATCACTGGCCATCAGAGAAATGCAAATCAAAACCACAATGAGATATCATCTCACACCAGTTAGAAAGGCAATCATTAAAAAGTCAGGAAACAACAGGTGCTGGAGAGGATGTGGAGAAATAGGAACACTTTTACACTGTTGGTGGGACTGGAAACTAGTTCAACCATTGTGGAAGTCAGTGTGGCGATTCCTCAGGGATCTAGAACTAGAAATACCATTTGACCCAGCCATCCCATTACTGGGTATATACCCAAAGGACTATAAATCATGCTGCTATAAAGACACATGCACACATATGTTTATTGCGGCATTATTCACAATAGCAAAGACTTGGAACCAACCCAAATGTCCATGAATGATAGACTGGATTAAGAAAATGTGGCACATATACACCATGGAATACTATGCAGCCATAAAAAATGATGAGCTCATGTCCTTTGTAGGGACATGGATGAAGCTGGAAACCATCATTCTCAGTAAACTATCACAAGGACAAAAAACCAAAACCGCATGTTCTCACTCATAGGTGGGAATTGAACAAGGAGAACACATGGACACAGGAAGGGGAACATCACACACCGGGGCCTATTGTGGGACGGGGGGAAGGGGGAGGGATAGCATAGGCGATATAACTAATGTTAAATGACAAGTTAATGGGTGCAGCACACCAACATGGCACATGTGTACATATGTAACTAACCTGCACTTGTGCACATGTACCCTAAAACTTAAAGTATAAAAAAATGCAAATTAAAATCACAATAAAATGTTACTACATACCCACACAAAAAAAGAAATGAATATTCAATGAATACCTATAAAACCTTGGTACACAAAGTGGAGTTCATGGGTGAGCAGCATAGACCCATTACTTAATTTCACTGAGCCATAGTTTTCTCTTATTGAGGATAAATCATATTGACTTTATAGTCTTTCGCTGAAACAAATAAAAACACAATATCTCTAGTATATCACATAATTCAACACTTGTCAATTTTTAACTCATGCCTAACTAACCCTAAGACTCTATTTACCACACCACACTATATCTTAAATTAATAATTTTGAAGTCATTTGGGGAATGGCTTTCAATTCTGTCTCCAAACTGCTTGCACTTATTATGTTGTAGTAAAGACAACTAAAATATTTATTCTTCTTTTTTTAAATTAATGGTCCTTCAGTTTTTAGAGGAAAATAATGTGTTTAATTAAAATAAACAAAATAAAATAAAGACAAATAAAGCACTGCATTTTAAGGAGCTTCCCTGGAAGTCTCATCTGGCAACTCCTGTTGGCATTATCCTGTCCATAACATAGCTATATGCTCCTGCCTAATTGAATGAGGGAGTAGACATGGAAAGCCTCAGACAGAATATTTGCTAAGTACCTTTGCCACACTAAGACATAGTTCCCAATATTTTTAGTAAATAAAAAAAAATTGTGTATATCTTACTGCAATGAAAAGAGAGCATAACTAAAATAAAAAAATGCATGAAGTATTGAAACATGAGATCTTCTGAGTAGAAATCGTGTTTCCTAAGAGAAATAGGTATTTTTTAAAAAGAGAAAATTTTTTGAAAAGAATATCATTCACCCTGTCCCTTCATCCTATATAAAATGTGGATGTAATACTTGGCAACACATCATCCTTCTGTTTTATCTTGAGCCAACTAGAGTGAGGAAAATTTCAAATATCTTGCAGAAATGCTGATCCTGACATCACTGGGTTGCAGAACTAACAATAGCTGCTAGCACTGCAGAATGCATGTTGTAAAAGCTATAGGCTCCTATTTAAGCTACCAGTTCCTTGAAGTTAAAAACCATTTCTAATGCTTAATGGATACACTTAATCAATAGGGCTGCATTTTATCCCAAAGAATTTATTTCAGAAACAAGTTCCAGTCTGTATGATACACATGTGGTTTGTTTAATCTTTTCTTTTCTTTGAGGCCTCACAGTGAAAATGGCTGTCACTCTCCCTGTTGATTATTTCAAAAAGCCCAGATAAGTAAAACAATTGATTAATTGTCAGTTGCAACCTAAAGAGTTAAACAGAGGGCATCTTCAAAGTATCAGAGGAGACCATTAAATTGGTTGCCGAATTGTAGAGCCTGATACAAGCAAGGTTTATGTGAGTGAGCATCAAGTCCAGCAGTTCCCAAACCTAGTTACCCATTGAGTATCCTAAGGAGAGAGTGAGAGGGGTGTGTGGCGGAAGACTGATTCTCTGGCTTTTCTCTAAAGCAACAGAATCTGTGATGAAAAGAGATGAGTGGAAGGAAGTCTGATAGAATAAGATACACATTTATTTTTATCTAAATCCTTCCAGCTGGGTCTATGGTTTCCAAGGTTAGTTCATGATGGAGGGACTAAGGCCAATGTAAGGGAACTGACCATCTTTGAGGTCATCAAGATTGAACCAGCTAATGACAGAATCAACATTATAATCCTGTCTCCTGGATACCCATCCCAAATTCATTCCAGGGATGACCTCCCTGGTGAGTCTTTTGAAGATTTTCTTTTTTTCTGGTTCCTTATCTTTGAGACAATTGAAAACTGAATATTTGAAAACCCTTGCGAACCTCCTACCATCATTTTATATGCACAAACTGAGACCTATGCTTCTATCCATCCATAAACAGAAACAATGGGGAGGGGGGAAATGGTAAGAACCACTATGTGAAGTGCAAGCACCATTAATTTGTTTTTAGGTGAGAAAACTAAGGCTCAGCTAGTTCCAAAAAATTCACAAAGTTCGAAAACAACACAGCTAGGATTAGACATATTCTGAATGCCTTCAACATCCGTGTGCTTCATCAATGTCGTGTAGCTACTAATGAAGTACAAGGCTTGCTGTACACACAGTGAAGAAATAAAGGATTATTAAAGCTGGGATATGAAATCCAAAACAGCCCTGATATACTTTATTGGAGATTTCTGAAAACTAACTGACTCCTAAGTGACAAAGCTATATTTTCAAACCAGTTTTGTCCAAATATAAATCCTGCACTGTTTTCCTTAAAATAATATTTGCACTGAGTTTGCTAAAAACTAGAAAAAGCAGGACTCCCTATGTTGCTGCTGTTTTCAGGGTCTCTAATACAGTTTCTCTCCCCAGTTCTTCCCTCAGATATATCCCACAAGCCTCCCAACTACATGGAATTTATGTCACATGCAGAAAGATGAGAAAAGACAACATTCCTTAGAGTACTGATTTTATATTCTTTCCAAATAAAAATGGTCAAATGTAAATTTCTATACAGAATAAGTGTGCTGGGGCAGAAACAAGACAGGTCTATCAATTAAGTGAAATGCATTCCTAAGCCTCATTCTGCCTGTGTTATATAATAGTCCCCTCCAATCCTGTATGGAATCATAGAATTATTAGATGGATAAATCCTGGTTTCCCAACACTCAAGGAGAAATACAGATTTGGGTTCTCTTAGAGGGGATGTGACTTATCCAAGTGACTCAAGAGCACCTCTTACTCTGGCTTTGAATAATAAAACAGCTCCTCACTGGAGTTTCTGTTTCTGTGCTTGCTCTCATAAAACCCTTTTCACATTAGCAAGAGATCAAAGAAGTCTATCAAATTAGACCATTTTCCTTAAAACTTCTGTTGCTTTTAAAAATTATTTTTAAAATGCAATCCAGCCTCCTTGCATATTCTACAATATAGGAAAATTTTGACCTTGACGCCTTCGTTGACCTCACCTCTACTACCTCTCTTGCTTCCTTATGCTCCAGCACTGACATCTCTTATTCAACACACCCACCTGGTCCTATCCCAGAGCCCTTCCCTTTCTGTTCTTGCATCCAGGAAAGTTCTTCTGGATCTCTTCATGACTTTATCTTCAAACTGAGGTCTCTGCTCCCAAGTTCCTGCCTCAGAGAGGCTCTCCCTACTCACCCCTTATTCCTCTTCTTTTTGGAATTCTGGTAAATTATATATAACATAGCATTTGCCATCTCACCCATCTTTAAGCACACGATTTAACAGTGTTAAGTATATTCACATTCTTGTGCAACAGACCTCCAGGACTGTTTCATCTTACAAAACTGAAACTCTAGACCCATTAAACAACACTCCCCAATTCTCTCTCTTCCCATCTTCTGGCAACCACCATTTAATCACTTTCTGTTTCTGTGAGTTGCCTGCTCTGGAAAACTCCAGAAATCTGTAGGTGAAGTCCTACAGTATTTTTCTTCCAGTGACTGTCTTATTTCACTTAGCACAATGTCTTTAAGGTTCACTCATGTTGTAGAGGTGTCAAAACATCCTTCTGTTTTAAAGGCTGAATAATATTCTATGGAATGTGTATACCGCATCATTTTACCCATTCATTCATTTTGACGGACGTGTGAGTTGCTTCCACCTTTTGGCTACTGTGAATAATGCTGCTGTGAACGTGGTTGTGCAAATATCTATTTGAGATCCTGCTTTCACGTCTTTTGGATATGTACCAGGAAGTGGAATTGCTAAATCATGTGGTAATATTATTTTTAATATTTTGAGGAATTGCCATGATGTTTTCCGTAGAAGCAGTGCCATTTTACATTCCCACCAACAGTGCCCTAGGGTTCCAATTTCTCCACATCTCCATAACACTTGTTATTTTCTGGGTTTTTTGTTGTTGTTTGTTACAGTAGCCATTCCAATGATAATGGAATCTATTCAGATGTGACATATCAAAGTGGTTTAGATCTGCATTTCCCTGATGGTTAGTGATGTTGAGCAACTTTTCATGTTTTTTGATTATTTGCATATCTTCCTTGGAGAAATGTCTATTCAAGTCATTTGCCTATGTTTAAATTGAGTTATATGTTTTGTTGTTGTTGTTGAGTTGTGGGAGTTCTTTATATATTCTGGTTATTAACCTTTTGTCAAGTATTTGAATTGGAAATATTTTCTTTTATTCTGTAGGTTGCCTTTTTACTGCATTGACTGTTATCTTTTGATGACCAGAAGACTTAAGTTTGATGTTGTTCATTTTTTTCTGTTTTAACTTTTGTTGCTCATGTTTTTGGTACCACCTTTAAGGAATCATTGCGAATTTAATGTCATCAAGTTTTTCCATATGATTTCTTCTAAGACTTTAATAGTTTTAGGTCCTGCATTTAAATCTTTGATCCATTTTTGGCTTATTTTTTGTGTGGTGTATGGTAAGGGTCCAATTTTACTCTTTGGCCTATGTATATACGGTTTTCCCGAGAGTTTGTTTAAAAGACTGTCCTTTCCCAACTTGATTGTCTTGATACACTTATTGAAAATTATTTGACCACATATGTGAGGATTTACTTCTGGGATCTGTATTCTATTTGGTTGGTCTATTAGTCTGTTTCTTCATTTTTTAAAAAATCCTATTATCTTGAGTAACTTCTTTACAGTAATTATGATTGTTATTTTTAGTCGGAAAACTATTTTTTCTGATTGCTTCAGAAAATATACCCATAGTTAAAAAATAAAAAAGAAATACAAGTCATCTCTAAATTCAACTACCAATAACTATAACTAATATTATTTTCTGGTCATTTCTTTACTTTTGTTTACTTTTTTACATAGTTTTATCCAAATGAAGTTTACTATAACATTAGATTATTAATATTATAATCTTAATATGTGTTTAGATATATAAATAACCTATCTATATATCTATATATAGTAAAATCTTTATATATATATGTGTATGTGCATGTGTGTGTACATTCATGTGTGTACATATATATGTGTGTATATATGTGTGTGGGTATATATATGGGGGGGAGGAAGAGAGAAAGAGGGAGAGTATTCCTAATCTGAAAATACAAAATCAAAATCTGAAATATTTTGAGCTCTGACACAAAACTGAAAGGAAATGATTAAATGATCATTAGAGCATTTCAGATTTTGGATTTTGGGATTAGGGATCCTGAACTGACAAGTATCATGCAGATATTTTGAAATTTATTAAAATTCAAAACTTGAAACACTTTCTGTCCAAAGTATTTCAGATGAGGGATACTCAGCACACACACACATGTACACACACACACACAGCACAACACACACGCACAGCACAGCACACACACAGAGAGCTTATAACTACACTACAGCATTTTAGTATAATATATCAAATATGTTATCTTAAGCTCTATTTTACATTTTCATTTCTCATGCCATTCAGTATTTTCACATAACTGAGTTTTTAAATATAGTTTTCTTAAATTCTATGTCTAATTTTGTAAGGGTTATTTACAGTGTTATAACCATGATAATTATTGATGTAATAAACACCATTGTACATACATGTTGATTAAAATATCTGATATTCAACTCAGGATAAATTTGCTAGGAACAGAATTAGAATTACTAGGTCAAGATATACAAACATTTGGTAGGCATTTCATTCATGTTTCCCACAGATCTGGAGAAGTGCTGTACCAATTTACACTCCCACTAACAGGATGTAAAATAAATACTTCCCCTTTAAAGACACAGTAGTAAGAGCATTATGTGCAAAACTGAAAAAATAAAAATAAACAGTTGCTAATTTGAGAGCTGACTAAATGTCCTTCTATTTTATTCTGACTCACTGGAATATTTGCCTTTTGCTTTCTGTAAACTGGCTTTATTACCTGTGATAATGGGGCAAATGCGGTGCTAAGAGACTTCTCAAAACCTGGAACATCAGTTCTGTCCTGTGCTTTGTTGTAATTAATAAACACAGCTTCTAAAGAAAACGCTGGGTTTCTGCTGCATCATGTCCTGGAGACAGTAATGACTGAAACTCTCTCAATGGAGGGTGTAATCCATCCTCTCGGAACAGACAAAGCTAAAGAGAGACTGATTCTGGGGCAATTTTGAAAACTTAAAGAATACCTGGGAATTACTGACGATTTTTCTTCAGCAATTTAGCATTTCAGCTTTTGTATTTGTAGCACACTTTCAAATGTTGTTCTAAAATTTCCTATGGCATTATAAAAGGAATTAAAAACCAACTGCAGACAAGTCAGTGATATTACAATATAACATACCTCATAATGTCTATAATAATAATTTCTGGCTCTTTGACTACTCTCTTGGTTGTCATAATGCGTTGTGCAGCAGCTGGTTGTCAGCCAAGACAATAAAACCTCTATTCATTCACTCATCTAGACTCCAAAACTACCAGTTGATTTTCCATAGACTTTATTCTTAACCAACCTAAGCCTCAGTTTTTTTCATCTGTGCAATAGGGGAAACAACACATTCCGTACTGGAAAAAGTGTCCAGAGTGTGATGGATAATTTTACCTTTGTTATCTCCCAAATGTGTCAATTTTGTTTCTTTCATTTTCCAGTCACTGTGTGCTCTGACTAAACATAGATTATGTTAAGTTCAAATTATAAAGAGCTTTGGATTTTATAAACTGTGGTGTTCTCTAATATTTGGAGACCTCAGTATATACAGTAATATTAGTGAAATAAAACATTAGATTTTCTTTCCCTCAGGCTTGGAGTAAAAAATTCATGAAGAAGCATTAGAGGATTAGCAGGACAGAGAGGTCACTCATGGTTCTCTTGTCCCAATCAACTCCTCTTGTCCCTCTTCTCTTTAAGAGCCAAAGTTATTCCCTAGTTGTATTGTTTTATTATCATTATAAGATCTGCCTTCTATAAAATCACAGACCAGACTGATTTAATCTATTGTTGGTCTAGAACTTCACTGTGACCAAATCATATAATTCATAAGAAAAAGATAGATAAGGAAAATACAGGAAAATGACAATGCATCCCCAATACTGGCCATGGTCATAACCTTCACTATTTTTAATTTCCCTATTGAATCAAATGTTTTACTTTCTTTAGTAGCTGTGTTTTTGCCCTACTTTTGTCCAGATCTCTTCTTCAAGTTTCTCACCCATCCATCTCTTTTCTCTGACCACAATTAATTATTTAAAGCTTATTCTTCTTTGCAATAATTTTCATTCTCCTTCTGAGAATATTGTTTCATTTTTTCATGCAAAACATTCTAGCTCTTTCTTGATTTATTTTCATATCATTATCCACCATTTGCTGCCAGTGAAACAAAAGATTTTTTTGGCAGCAACCATTCATGGGAAAGGGAATAGAAATAAAAGGTGATTTGCGAAATGGAGAGAAGGACAATGGTGGTGGTAGTGGTGCTACAAGTTGTGGTGGTGGTCAGGAAATTATAATGATTATATAACTGAAAAACATGTCTAAAGAATTCAAATATAAAAAAAGTATTTAAAGTTGGTAGTTTCGGGAGCAGGAATAAACAAAAATGTAAAAGGCCTTGAGTCAATTGCTTATAATCTATGTAGATCTTATGTAAGATAGACGTAGTACCGTAATAGAGGAAGTCTTGTATTAGGTCTGAGATAATTTGGTTTCTAAGCTCACTTCCACCCCTCACAGGTTGTACACACTTGAACAAACCATGTTTATCTATTTCTCTGTCTATAAATATGAATATGGAATTGTGTTGATAAATCTCAAATTGAGTTCCCCGAAGTCACAAGAAGTGCTTCAATAAAATAGGTCACCACTTTTTTCTGGGGTTGTGGGGAGGGGCATAGTTCTATGTAAAATCCCATAAACTGTACAACTCTTCAATAAAAGCAGCAATAATCTTTAAATTAACTACTACACTAGATGTCTTTCTAACTCTGAGTCTATGGTCCTGCGTTTTCCATACTAAACCTCATTACAGTTAGCAGTTGAAGTTCATAATAGCCCTAGGAAGTAGGGAAAATAATTTCTGGTTAGTTGTTTTGTTTTGTTTTTTAACTACTACTATGTATTTCACGTTGCTAATATCTGCATAACTCACATGTCAGCTAGAGTCTTCTGACCCTTTTCAGAGGGTCAGATCATGAAAACATCTACTAAATCCCCTCTTTTAATCTTTGCGTAAAATCAAAGCCCTACAGTAGGTATGTTTTAGCAAACATATTTGGGGAAGACAATAAGGACGGTTAGCGAGCTCCTTTTCTGGATTATTCTGCTCCCATGCCAGCCTCTGTGCGTGCTGTCTCTATTCTGAAAAGTATCAAATGAATTCCATTTCCCAGATCCCTTAAAATGTCCCTTTTACAGAAGGTATTGTGTAGTGTAATAGATATTATGGAATATGGCAGAACGGACTTCTACTATGATTTTTAGAAATAGAACATAATAGGAAATTGGATTATATCACAACAAAACAACTTCAACATGAACAAGGATTTGGCCTTAAAAATAAAATTTGATTACAACAACATGAAAGCATTTAAACTATTTTTTGTTGTAATCGCCCACCTTCAAATCACCTCAAGATGTTTACCCTCTTTTCCTGTTTCTCTTCTACCCTCACTCCTGCATGAATCGACAGGGAGTTACTCGAGTCCTCTTAATAAAAAACAATAATTCACTTCTGCACACTTTCTGCTATAATTGGCTCCAGGCCTACCTTCATACATTCCAAATCCAGTAGCATAAAATAGTTTTTCATTTCACAAGATCCACCTTCCTAGAAAACAAACTGACTGAAAATAATCACTTTGTCTTTATTTTATGTATTTTTATCCTAAGCTCTTTGGCGAAGGCCCATATATGATGATATCCGTAATCACATGAATTATATGATTATTATTTCACATAGGTCATGCTTCCAGTATATAGAATTTTGTACTACTCATTATTTAAACGTTTTGTTTCAAGTAGCTTTCCAAAGGTGTTTTGCCCTTCCATGCCCCAATGTTTCTTTTAATAACTCTCTTCCCTGGTCTCAAATGATTCACTATTTTAAGCGGGCATTCAAACAGTGTGTCAAATCCATTTGTAAAACCTTTATTAAGTTTAACAGCAAAATCTCATAAGTTTTCCTTGGTTGATCTATCAATTAAAGGCTCATTAAGATAAGGAATGACAAAGCTGGAAGCAAATGCCTCTCTTTTCTTTGAAAATACTTGTAAAACCAAGTACTCAGCTGTTTTCTCATTGTATGTGGCTTTGGAAATGTCAGGCTAGTTTGAACTGTCAAACATCAAAAATACTGCTGAAACCGCAATGGAAACAATGACTATCTTGGGAAAATGCAGTAAACTATAGGACCCAAGAGGCTGATTTTCCCAAAGGAAGAGAGGTACATTTTAAAAGGGCAAAGTTAGAGAACCAACTTCTTCCGTGTGAGGTCTACAGAAGGTTTCTCAGTTGGGAAGCTGCGTGATGAGGAACACGCCTCCCCTCCCCGACCCCCAAGGGGATCCCTATTTCCACTCTATTCTGCCACATTCTGCCAACTGTTTTTTCCCTGAAAAACCTCAGGAAGTCTCTCTTTGTTTTTCCGCTAAATCTTCAGTTTCCCTTGTGTGAAGAGTTGCCCTGACATAGTGCAAAGAAGATGGACACCTCAGTGAAACAGGATGTTCTGAAGGTTGGATGCCGTTCTACCTAAGGAACCATTCTGACAGCAAAGCCTGAGTAAAGGACTTAGTTCCCACTGTGGATGGAGCTAAATCCTACAGATGGCTTCTGAAGTACCATGTAGAAAGCATCACTTTGAAGGATAAGAGATAGGAGACATTTGTTTATCATTTCCATTCTCCATTGGTAGAAGCTGGCCACTAGGTATGTCAATTCCCTTACATGTTTGTGCTGTTCAATGAATCAGCTAAGCAAGCTCCTGAGCATTTGCAAAAATATCTGAAGTAGAAAAACTGAGAGATATAGCAGAAATTTCAGATGCAGCAGTCTTGGAATGCGTGGGAACTGCCTGCCCCGGCTGCAGCTGAAACCAAAGGTTGATCTTCGAGATTTGGTATAGGTCACTAAGTGTGGGTACTACAGAATATCTTAATATTATACTCATTGTAAAGATGGTGAGAAAACCTATATCACTATAAGAATTATAAATGTTTGTTGTCAAATGTTTCACACAATGAAATGGAGGTTGCTCAGTAAAAAAAACTTGTTAATGTGCTAAGGTTGAAATTTTGAGAATGACATTTCAATTCCTCTGCTGGCTGACATCAGTTGCTTTTCATCCCCTTATCTCTTGCTAGTCTCTTTAATATCATCTTTGTTCTAGCCAAATTAATTTGTTAAAAGCCCAGGGTCTTTCTCCTTGACAATATTCATCGGTCAAGTCTCTTTCTAATCTAAAAGCTCTGGAAATCATGGAACCCATGTGAGGGGAAGACAGAGTGGACAGTTACAAATAGCTTTATTTCATAAAGTGATACTCAGAATTTCTGTCTATTCTGTAATCTCATTTTTGTTCCAAACACTTAGAAATCTCATTCTGTTAACATCAAGCTATTTACATAGTACCCATCAAGGTTATCAATGTGCTAATGCTTGAGAAGCTGAATGATTATTTTTCAATCTCTGCTTATAAGAATAGTTAGCTGAATTTGATGCAGTTCGTTACACCTATTTCCTTAAACGTTCCAGTCTTCATTTTCTATCGGTCTTTTTATTTCTATCTTACTACTCTGTTTTCTTTTAGATCTCTCTCCCTTGCCTTAAATATTAGTGTTACCTGGGTTTTTACCCTTGGCTTTCTGATTTTTGCTGGAAGTCATTTCGTAGATACAAAGGGAAAGATAATCTGGCCAGCAGAATATTAGCAGATTTTATTTTAAACTGCCACATGCTCACAACAATGCATCGAGTGCTCAAACTTGTCATCTACAAGCTGAATTAACTGAGGAGTATGTTTTATTTCATTGATACACGTTTCTAGAGACAATGAAATATATCACTAAATAATCCAGATTTTCTGTTTCTCATGAACCGTTAGACAACTTGGCAAAACTAGGACACCACCCCTGCATACAACTGGCTGTGTCTGAGTGACAGCCTTCTATGGTTAGACTAGCGAGCTCCTAAAATACCTACACATATTCACTTTTCCACCCACTTATGCTTTCCTCCTGTCCCTTGCCACCCTCTCCAAACTTTAAATGGGATGGTAAAGAGTAGAAAGCAAGACAACCTTCTATTAAATATATCTTCAGTCCATTATCCTATCGATCATTTTCTTCACTGTCAAAGTTGAGACTGTTAATTAGTCCTTCTTCTTAAAGTTATGAATATCTTTAGACACCTTGACTTCATATTTTCTTCCTCATTTTCCATTTAACAACGAAAATGCTTCTTCTTAATCATCTTCCCTTGCTTCTACCCTGATTCAGCATCCTTAAATGTTGACAGTTTTGCTTCCGTTTTTCATGAAAGCCTTTCTCTTACTCTGTGTCTCTCTTTCTCATTTGTAGCTAACATTTGAAGAGAAAGCATGGGTGAATGTAGCTGTGGATTTGACTAATAAGTGATGTGTCCTAATATTTTTTGTGCTAAGAAATAAAATCTTTGGAAATCACTTTACTCTTTTGAGCCTTTGCAAATGTGGAACTTATGCATTGAACTAGATTTTCAGGAAGGGCAATTTTGGATATATAGTCCTAATTATTCTGTCTTAATAAGTGGCAGAGGCAAAGTTCTCAATGTAAGAAGGTCTTCCAAGTAAAGTCTAACCAAATTGATTGTTCACTTTATTGTGCTTCTGACAACTGTCTGTAACTTTACAGTTAAGTTCCTAATAGCCATCTTTTAGAGTAAATTGACAGTTCAGTTAATTTTGAAAAATACTTACACTCTAGGAAATATGACTGGGCCGATATGCTTTTTCAGAAATTTCTTTTCCCCCATGTATGCTTGAGGGAAATTATCTTGAAGTGAAACAGAGGTCTCCAAGGAATCAGAGCTAAATCCTAAATGTTGAACTGTAGCAAGCATTTTTTAACAGAGCCAACAACCGCCTGTTTCTTCTTGGCTGCCCCAAGGGGTCAATCCCAATATCTGTGCCTGGATCCAACAACACTGACCCTCCCTGCCTTTCAACTGTCATTTTAGAATACTCTAATGCTTCTGAGAGGACGGCAGTAGAAATGGCCCTCCGGAGGTTAACATAATGTTTACAACATACTTGATACAATATTGAACACCAATAAAAAACCAGATACATGTACATTTTCTGTTTATTTATCTGCACTCCCATCAATACCTATGAGGTTTGTATCTTTAGTCTTCTTGTAGCCAATGACTGTTTAGGTCTGTTGGCAAGTTGCATAACTTTGGTTCCCAGAGTTTAATGATATTTGCCCCCCAGTGTTTGTGAGGACCCAGTGCACGTATTGGCCCAGGTTTAAAGACATACATCAACTGTGGAACATGGGTAACTTATCTGAGTTATTTGGGGCTTAGGTTCTTCAGGAGACAAAATTAAGCATTTGGAAAAGATGATCTTTCATTCTACTCTGGTCTTTCTTTTAGCATTCTATGATTTTAGCATATTATTTCAGGAGGTTCTCTCCTGGCATGTAAGGAAGATTCATGCCTGCGTTCCCTATTAATCCTGAAGTTCTGTGATTTATTCCCTCAAGTTTTATGAAGTAATTACTTGCAAGAGCTCTTTCTTGTATGAACTGTAATAAAAATGACTTAAGAAAAACGGTTAGTCTTTGCATAAAATTAAGCAGAAATTAAATTAAAAGGCAGGACATCTGTTCATTTCACATCAAGCCTTTGAGCATGTTCCCAGGGAGCTGCAGATATTGTAATGATAAGAAAAATATGGAAAAATTTGATTTCAATAATCCACCTTTTCTGTCTTCATGCCACAGATCTCCCCATTCTCTATTTTCTGCATGATCTGAGCCAAAACTTTGCCAACTGGGATGTAGGACGTTCCATTGGCTGATGAATCAATTGGTTCAAGAAGCATTTTTTTTCTCCCTCAAAAGAGACTTATCCAAGAAAATAGAGAGACATGAGTGTCTATGTAATATAAATATAATAAAAACTATTTGATTATTAAGAATTGTCTGGCCAACATGGTGAAATGCTGTCTCTACTAAAAATACAAAAATTAGCTGGGCATGGTGGCTCGTGCCTGTAATCCCAGCTACTCAGGAGGCTGAGGCAGGAGGATCACTTGAACCCAAGAGGCAGAGGTTGCAGTGAGCCAAGATCGTGCCACTGCACTCCCTGGGCAACAGAGTGAGACCCTGTCTAAAAAAAAAAAAAAAAAAAAGGCAAGAATAAAAAAAAGATTTGTGGCCGGGCGCGGTGGCTCACGCCTGTAATCCCAGCACTTTGGGAAGCCGAGGCGGGTGGATCATGAGGTCAGGAGATCGAGACCATCCTGGCTAACAAGGTGAAACCCCGTCTCTACTAAAAATACAAAAAATTAGCCGGGCGCGGTGGCGGGCGCCTGTAGTCCCAGCTACTCGGGAGGCTGAGGCAGGAGAATGGCGTGAACCCGGGAAGCGGAGCTTGCAGTGAGCCGAGATTGCGCCACTGCAGTCCACAGTCCGGCCTGGGCGACAGAGCGAGACTCCGTCTCAAAAAAAAAAAAAAAAAAAAAAAAAAAAAAAAAAAAAAAAAAAAAAAAAGATTTGTAAGGATTTGGTATTATCATTTATATTCATTATTTTAGTAAATCCTGAGAAGAAACCAGAACATACTGAAACAAAGTCAGAGGGTTGGCTTGAACAGTGGGGTAGATCTTTATAGAAGGGTATCAAAAGACTGTGGAAGAAATATGAGGCAAGAGAATCTAAAGCTTATTAATTACCCATCATACAGCAAGTGACGTACCAGGTGTCTTTGACCGAAGTTTTCTATCTAAGTCTCTGACATTCTTATATGAGGTGTAGTATTATGTATCCCTCTTTTGTCTATTAGAAATATAAAATTTAGAGAAGTTAGTTAATTAGCTCAAGATCACATACTAATGTAGCTCAAATGGGGTTGAGAGGCTAGGCTTGGTGACTCACGCCTATAATTCCAGCATTTTGTGAGGCTGAGGCAGGAGGATTGCTTGAGGCCAAGAGTTCAAGACCAGCCTGGGCAACATAGGGAGACCTCATTTTTACAAAAAAAGGAAAAAACAAAAACTAAGCTAGAAATGGTGGCACACTTGTGGTATCAGCTACTCCAGAGGCTGGGGTGGGAGGATTGCTTGAGCCCAGGAGTTTGAGGCTGCAGTGAGCTGTGATTGCACCACTGCATTTCAGCCTGTGTGACAGAAAGAGACCCTGTCTCTAAAATAGAAGAAAAATGAATAAAATAAAAGGGATTAAGAGGTGATAATTAACTATATCTCTTGCCTTTTCTGCTTCAGAAACAATAGATAACACACATAGAAATCACATTGTTTTCCATGGGGTTGGGAATGAATGAATATTCCTTCATGGGGATATGAGGACATTAAGAGAGTTATCTTTAATAAGCTGGATACAGAAGCACTTGCCCTCATGACCACACTGTATAATCCCTAAGATAGACAAAACAGGGATAGTGATCGGAGAATATTCTTGAAACTGATGTAATTTGGAAGGAAGTGAAGATAAATGCGAAACTGCCATTATATTTTAAATAAGTAATTTGATGTGACATAATTATAAAGCAGTTCAGTTTTCTTATAGCTTTCTTTGTCAGACTATTTTCCTCTGGGTCAGGAAACCAATCACAGAGAAGGAGGCAGTGTTTCTGAAGAGAACATAAGCCAATTTTACAGATTAACAAAGATTTGATAATTTCATTCCCTTCCACTAATGTACTCTGAAAAATAAAGATGAGTACACCGAGGAACTAAAATGGCAAAGAGAAAACAAGAAAGAAAGAAAGAGAGAGGGGGAGAGAGAGAGATAGACAGAGACAGAGACAGTGAGAGAGAGACAGAGAAAAGAATGACTTCAGGAAAGAGAAGTTTTCCTGCTAAGAACCCGGAGAATTCAGGTAATGAGCTGGCAATGGACACCACTAAAGGATTAATAAAAAAACATCTGCTGGGGACAGGTGGCAGCCCAGCAGAAAGGGAAATAAATGCTTTTGGTGTCAGAAAAATAAAATGTAACTGAAAACACTCTTTATTTCTCTCTTTCATTTTTTAAAAACAACTTGGTGTATGTGAATTATAATACTCCCATTTTCTGCAAGAATTGGAATTATGCAAAGCTTTAACCTCCATGAGTTATCCTCATATAAAATTTTGTTAACAAAAGAGATGTAATCATAAGCATACATACATAACCTGATTCTATAGATAGCAGGCATTCCTAAAAGTTTAGGGAGGAGAAATGTCACATTAAATAGAGATTTGCAGAAAACATGACCAGAAGAAATTGAACAAAATGTGCTGGAAGAAGTTTCACCTCATCGGTGAACTATGAGATGAGGTGAACTATGAGAGAGAAATTTCCTTTAAAGAAACACACTGTCCATTGAGACTCTAACGTCAACAGTATTTCTGCCATTCGCCAGCACGGAGGTGAGCTCTTTCTGTTCTCCTCATAGTTCCACTGGCTTCATTGTTGCCAAAGGGAAGTGCCCATTAGGATCTTCTCATTCCCTTTTCTTCATAATATCCTCTTCAAGTAAAATTTTTATTAGAAATTTAGCAATTATATTGCTTTAATTATTAGTTTATTTATTTACTTTTATTATTTTAATGTTTTTTTCATGAGATGTAAAAGATGATAAATGGATATATAAATGAATAAATGGAAACCATTTGAACTGTAAAGATAGGGAGTTCTCTGTATAGGGGCATTGACAATGTAAATTGTAAATTTTTACATTAGCATCTTTGCCCTGAAAGATAGGGGGTTCTATTGCCACAGGCCATGCTGTTATGAAAAATCCCACAGATGCTGAGCTCTGTGAGAAGGAGTCTTGGACTCCAGCTCCATTGAAGTTGCAGCAAAAGGAATTGATTTCATTCATTTTGTGGCTGCATAGTATTTTGCAGCATATATATGCCACATTTTCTCCATGTGCTCATGTCCCCATGAAAGAATATTCACTCCCTCAACCCCATTGAAGACAATGTAATTTCTATGCCTACTCTCTATTGTTTCTGAAGCTAAAAGGCAAATGTAAAAACCAAAATCAAATGTAAAACAATGGCAGTCCTGGGATTAAGTGAGAGCTACCTTGAGGGGGTTAAGTGATAGCTATCTTGAGGGTCTTGTGGCTTTGGTAAATTTTGGTTTGCTGATGTTTGCCCTGCCTTTTAAAGTTGGCCCAAGATAAATGCGTCCAAGCTCCTAAGTAACCCTGGGAGATCCCAGGAGCACTTTCCAACGTGCTTTCTGTTCACTTTTCTCTTCTATTTTTCATTACCCTCTTGTATCTGACTATAACAATGGACAGGAAAAGATAACCAAACAGACTTATGACAGCAAAAGATAACCAAACAGACTTATTTACAGTTTCTACTGAGGCATCTGCACTTGTGGCATTGTTGCTGCTTCCACCCGAAGTTCTCTCACATGCACTGGGGGTCTTGCATGTGGTCAAGACACCCTTAGACTCAAGAATAAATCTGTGGGAGTGGCAGACCTTCATAGATAAAATTGAAAGAGTTTTGACTTAGTGAAGCTGTTAGGTGTAAGAAATTATACTTTTGAGAACCCATTAACAGATTGTAAAAGAACAGTTCCCCAAGTTTGTCACAGAGCATCTTAAGGTCTTGATATCCAGAGCAACATGATTACCTGTTCTGCTTGAGAATAGTGTGGCATCTAAAAACCAAGGCTACCTATTCTAAGTTAATCTTGCCTTATTTGGTTTCTATTTATAATTTTTTATATTATTTTGGATTCAAGGGGTACATGTTTGCGACATGGCTATATTGCATACTGGTGGGGATTGAGCTTCTAGTGTACTCTTTACCCAAACAGTGAACATTGTACCCAGTGGGTAAGTATTGAACCCTCTACCGTCCCCTCTTTGAATGTCCCTAGTGTCTATTATTTCCATCTTTACGTCCATGTGTACCCATTTATTAGCTCCCACTTATAAGTGAGAACATGTGGTATTCGGTTTCCTGTTGCTGAGTTAGTTACCTTAGGTTAAGGGACTCCAGCTCCATCAAAGTTGCAGGAAAGAAGATGATTTCATTCTTTTTATGGGTGAATAGTATTTCACAATGTATATATGCCACATTTTCTTTATCCATTCAACTGTTGATGGACACTCAGGTTGGGTCCATGTCTTTGCGATTCTAAATAACGCTGTGATAAACATACAAGTACAGGTTTCTTTTTTATATAATGCTTTCTTTTCCTTTGGGATTGCTGGGTTGAATGTTTGTTTTTTTATTTACTTAAGAAATCTCTATACTGTTTTCCATAGAGGTTGAACTAATTTACATTCCCACTAACAATTAATAAGTTTTCCCTTTTTTCCACATCCATGCCAACATCTGTTATTTTTTGACTTTTTAGTAATAGCCATTCTAACTGGTGTAAGATGATATTTCATTACAGTTTTAATTTGCATTTCTGATGAATATTGATGAACATTTTTTCATGTGTTTCTTTGCTACTTGTATTTCGTCTTTTGAGAAATGTCTGTTCATGTTCTTTGCCCAGTTTTTAATGGGGTTGTTTGTTTCTTTGCTTAGAATAATGAGTTCAGTCTCTGGAAGCAACTTGATCCATTATGTAAATTAAAAGGTGGGCAGGTCTATCATACCTCTGTCTCATTCAGGTTTATAAAATATTCAAAAATATCTAGGCACTGTGACAGCTCAAACAATCACATTTTTCCAGATTCTCTCTCAAGAGATATGGTATAAATAAATGGAGGAAGAGATACATGGTGGTTAGTAATGGAGATTCTATAGTAGATAGATGTATCAGTGTTTCCAGCATTATCTATGGAGAGAACACCTGGATATGGGCTCAAATATACCTACCTGCTTGACCAACATGAAGATGAAAATGCAATGCTCACATATCTATAGCAACACCAAATGGTGACATCTCTGAGATAATGCCCTTTGTTCTGATTGCACTCTTGCCAAGCTATTCTCTAGTGACTATTTACAACCCTGCTCTATCCACAAACACACACATGCACAACAGATACAGATGATTATAATGACCAGGAAAATAGCAATTAGCATTTTAATTAGAAACATAAGTACCAAACAGATTATAAAATACATATTTGGTTTAATACATGTTTGCATATACATATATTCATATACTCTATAAAGAAATTTTAAAACGTGTTATACCTATTGTTTATACACGTATTCACCAAGAAAGAAAGACAGAATGAGGGCAAGAGAGAGTGAGAGTGAGAGACAGAAACTTGAAAGTATAGAAAGTCACAGAAAAGCAAAAAATACATCGTCCTACTATCCAGAGATAAGCAATACAAATTGTTGGTTTATATTATTTGTGCTCACATAGTCTTATAACTTCTTGCTTTTATTTCCAATTTGTAACATATTAGAAGCATTTCCTATCTTAAAAGATTTTTCTAAAATATAATATAAAGAAACTATTGAAAATCTTGCTACAGCATAAGATATTTAATTAATTTCATATTGACAAACTTGTACCAGAAAATAAATTTGTTTATTTGGGTTTAATAATTGCGAATTTTGAAGATTGGCTGTTAAACTATTTCTAGTCCTATTATGCTGAAGAACAGATTTTTGATGGTAGCACTGGAATGCACCCCTTACAGAAGATCCCAGGAGCAACCAGTCAACCACCCTCTGTATTCCTTTTACTTTTGAAACCACTGTATTAACTAATTAAAAACATAATTTTTGTCAGCCAGTTATGTGCTAAGTGATCTTCTAGGTATAAAGGATGCAACAACAAATAACACAGACTCTGGAGTCTCTACCTTCTTGGAACTTGTACATTAGTGAGAAGATTGGCTTTTTATTTTTTTAGTATTTATTGATCATTCTTGGGTGTTTCTCAGAGAGGGGGATGTGGCAGGGTCATAGGATAATAGTGGAGAGAAGGTCAGCAGATAAACACGAGAACAAAGGTCTCTGGTTTTCCTAGGCAGAGCGCCTTCAGCCCTGTTTGTGTCCCTGGGTACTTGAGATTAGGGAGTGGTGATGACTCTTAACGAGCATGCTGTCTTCAAGCATCTGTTTAACAAAGCACATCTTGCACCGCCCTTAGGATTGGCTTTTATAAGAAGCAAAATAGTTTGAGTTAACTGGAGAGAATGCAGACCTACATGGAAGCCCAGGCATTGAAATGTGTAAACATGACAGTTTCTCCACGTGGAAGCCATTTTTGTGTTTTCTTGATAAACTAGGAAGCAAATCATTAGCTGATAACAAAGATTAGGGAAATCAGACTCACTTTGAATCACTTGGCTTCTTTCTTCCAATCCTCTTATTTTGTTCAAGCTCTTTCAAGCCAGCCTGAGTGGGAGGCACACCAGGCCATGCGTGTCCTATTCTTGTTGGAGCTATGAGAGATATGAGTTCCTCAACAGCTTGCAAACCATGCACAAATTTGCTCAGGAAAAGTTGATGGGACTTATACTGCAGTCAACTCTGAAACTTTTAACATGAACTCATATTTTTTTTCCAACCAGAATTACCTAATCCTTTTTAAATGTTCTTCACAGAAGCAATCAGATCTAGAATTCATATCTTTAGAAAAGCAAGATCCTCTCTCTTTCTTTTCTTTTCTCAAAGCAAACCAGGCGCCTAAGAAGCATTCTTGCAATAGCCAGCCCGCTAAGCCATATAAAACTGAACCATTATTACTCGTGTCTTTGTGTGTATTTTAACCTTTAAATGGTGATACTATCATTTTAATTAAAGATGACGTTTCTTCAGCATTCAATTCAAAAAGAGACTGCAAGGTCCCATTCTACAATAGAAACTAAATCTTTAGTCCAAAAGTAAAACAAAGTGTATGCATGAAGGTAGGCAGGGTTGGGGAGGTTTCAAAATTTGATGGTGGGAGATTGGTGGTATTGGCAGTCATAAAAATGAGGTACCTCCAGAACTATGAAAACTATACCAGCAAAACTTCCTTTATGATGCAAAAAATGAGACATAGAAAAAGCTAAAATTTCAAAGCTATGTGAGGAGTAACATGTACTAGGCAGAGAATCTTGGTCCACTTTTTCTTTTTCAAATGTCTGTGCAATATGAGTAACTTAATATGCCCACTTTACAGACACCATGTGTAGATACTGAGATTCTCCATCCACACAATCACAGTATTGGAAAATTATATCATATCATATCATATCATATATTTATACATATTATATATGATGGGTTTCACAATGTTAGCACTATTAACATTTAGAGCTGGGTAATTATTTGTTCTGGGAGGCTACCCTCTGTATCATAGTAAGTTTAGCTGCACCCCTGGCCTTTACATACAGAGGTCAGTAGCACCATCCTCCAAATTGTATCTAACAAAAATGTCTTCAGACATTGGCAAATCTCCTATGTCCTTGTGCCTGGTGCTTACTTCTTGTCGTACCAAGAGTATTTCATAGAAAAAGGCAGACCTTTCCCCACTTTGCAGTAAAATGCATGTGTGACTAC
The DNA here is from genome assembly GCF_000001405.40 of Homo sapiens. Classification (NCBI taxonomy): domain Eukaryota; kingdom Metazoa; phylum Chordata; class Mammalia; order Primates; family Hominidae; genus Homo; species Homo sapiens. The sequence continues at coordinate 61,504,700 of NC_000016.10, read as the reverse complement.
ATACAACGTCATACTAGCAAAATTCTCCCCCTTTTACCCTGGTTCATTTTACTTACTGTGTGGCCCATCTTCTATGGACACATTATTGAGTTCATTGGCTCTACTGAGGAAAGCAACTGATGTATCTCAGTCCTCTTTAAAAAAAATTCTAAGATTAAAGTGAATCTATCATATATAGATGCCATACATTGCTTAATAAATCTAGGCTCTAAAATTGTACAGTACATTTCCTGTGGTATCTGAATGCTATTGTATTCGAATAACTTAGTGTTTTTCATAGATTGCCCTTAGTGAAAGGGTGGGTTGAAATTGAATATTCCAGTGTGTTTGATAATTCTGTTGACATGGATAAGTTTTGTTTGTTTGTTTGTTTTTGGTTTATGTTTTTTTGAGACAGGATCTTGTTCTGTTGCCCAGGCTCCAGGGCAGTGAAACCATCAGTGCTCATTACAGCCTCAACCTCCTGTGCTCAAGCGATCCTCCAACCTCAGCCTCGCTGTTCCTGAGTAGCTGGGACTGTAGGTGCACACCACCATGTTCAAATAATTTTTTTGTATTTTTAGTAGGGACAGGGTTTTGCCATGTTGTACACACTGGTCTGGAACTCCTGGGATCAAGTGATCCTCCTACCTTGGCCTCCCAAAGTGTTGGAATTACAGGCATGAGCCACAGAACCTGGCCGACATGGGGAAGTTTTGAAATTGGTGTATTATATCATGTACCAATCTTCTGGCTGATTATTTAATGTAAATCTCTCCCTCAAAGATTCACTAGCTATTGGACACAATGTTGCCTTAGGGCCCACAGGCAGGGCCTGTGTGTGGAGCATTGTGTCTTCATGCTTTAAAGTAATTTCTTGAAAAATTTTTAAAATCCCCTCTGTTGCATGGGAGCCTCTAGGCCTAACAATGAAATCACCATTAATTTGATTAATTAATTCAAAATATAATGGGTGGATTGCCTTGAGCTGAACCAGAACCCATATTGAGTCCAGTGCTCAGGATCTCATATACTTCAGAGAGGGCCCTATCTCAGTACGTAATGCAACTGAACATAGACATCTTCAAGTATTTGCCTCCATTTCTCCTGTGACTCTTTTGTGGAATACAAACATTGAGAACAATTATTGGCCTAAAAACATGTTAACCGATGTATGCAATCATGAATATGTATTAGCTGGTAAATAAACCAGTTGTTCTTTATCTAAGGAACATTGTAAGTTTCAAAGAGTTTTTGATGCTCCCTAAACTAATTTGTGTATGTGTCCATATGTGACTTATTCTTGAGAAAGTGTCAATAATTTTCCTCAGATTCTGAATGAATAACCCAATTTCCATAATAGCCTTAGGAAAAAAATTGGATTTGGGAACTGTGGGCCCACCTTGAGCATCTATATACACTTACATGCTGCCCTTACAAAGGTATTTATCTTCCAGGAATTTCTGGTGGCTGCCAAATTTCTCTGCAAAAGTTTTCAAGTTTTGTGGATAATTTCGAATCACATGAGGGCTCTGCATGTTCAAAGAAAGTCAAGACAGTTTAGGGTTGCAATGATAGATTTTTTATCTTGTTTAAACCTTAAAAAATATTAGTCTGACCTCTCCTTCAGAAACATCCCTGTTCTCCTTGTCTGTTTCTGAAAATATCTCACTTTGCTATAGGTGGCCTTATAGAAAGCAAGAGATTCCCTGGCATATCTTTTTGTAACCTATTGCATTTTGTGCATCATTTTTGCTATACATATGAAAGATCTTACTAAGTCATTTAATGTTTGCTTTCTTAGACATCAAATGTTAACACATCATTAAGGGAGGTTAAATTAAAGTTTTCTATTCCAGGCCCAGTTCAATGGCTCACTCCTGTAATCCAGCACTTTGAGAGGCTGAGGCAGGCGGATCACCTGAGGTCAGGAGTTTGAGACCAGCCTGGCCAACATGGTGAAATCCCATCTCTACTAAAAACACAAAAAATTAGCCGATTATGGTGGCGCACACCTGTAATCCTAGCTACTCGGGAGGCTGAGGCAAGAGAATCACTTGAACCTGGGAGGTGGAAGTTGCAGTGAGCTGAGATTGCGCATTGCACTCCAGCATGGGGGACAAGAGTGAAACTGTCTTAAAAAAAAAAGTTTTCTATTCCAGACATTTTGTGGCAATTGGGTATTTATACTACTGAATCCATGATTTTTTTTTCAGTATCTTTGTAAAAGATATGGCTTATAGAGAATTTATAAGATACATTTCATATTCCATTAGTGTTACATTACTAAATCTAAGATTTTATTAACCCATTTTTAATAAAGCAGAATTCTCTTTCTAATCCTATAGACTACCTGTGGTCTTAGATTATTTGTAATACATTATAGTTAAGGTAAAAACCTGATTTTAAGAATTTGAATCTGAATAGAAAACTAATGTTTATAAAACGTTAACAACAGGACAAACAAAATTCTGATTTATACTTAATAGTAATTCTGTGCTGGAGGTACATGCAATCCCATTTTAAAGGTGATAAAACTAAAGTTCAGAGAAACACCCAACTGGTTAATTCTAAGCATAGAAGCAAAACCCCAGTCAGTATGTCACCAAAGCACATACTCTTTCCTAGGATATTTTGAAATATTTCAAAAGGGGGAAGAAAAAAATAAAAAGGGTCTTGTTGGGGAAATAAAGGTCAGGAACCACAGGACCAGCTGGCTGTGGTCTTCCAAACCCATGGAGTTTATTAAATAATAATTGACTACAAATTTATTATTAATCAAAGGCATATATAGCCCACAAGTCATAACCCTTTTTGTTTCCATGAGTAAACCAAAGTTACCAGGCTGAGTTCAAATAAGACCATGCATATTAACAAAAATAGGAGGATGCTTTGGTTTGGGCAGGAATTTCCCCATTACATCTATGATTTTTAAGAGATATTTGAAATTTATGTTTTAAAATAGGCTAAAATCTCACATTGTTATTTTTTACACTTTTTAGAAATTCAAGAATTTAATTTAAAACCAATACTTGGTTTGTTTTCCACTTATTTGACTAAATGCTTTTTGTTTTCACTAAATACCACAAGACAAATTAAAGGCAGAGGTAGTATTAGAACCTGTGTCTCTTGTCCTTCAGACTAGTATTCTCATGATTACTTTCTCCTTTTCATAAACCAAGTACTAACCAACATTAATTTATTCCTTTTTTCTCACTTTTATTATGTATATATGAATGTATGTATTTTCACAATAAGTCACAATAAGTGTAAAATCTAAGGGAAGAAGACAGTGATAAAGAAAAGAGGAAACTAGCAAAACAACTCTTAGATATTTGTTTTGACCCATTTTGTTTAAGACAGTTTAAGTTAGATATTCTTCTCTAATGAATTCAGAGAAGGTTCTTTACTAATCGCAGAAAGTTATGGAGGAATAAAATAGAAAGGAAGAGAGGGTGAGAGACTTACTGGCTTATACAACACAACAGCTAAGAAACAGTTTACTGCTGACATAGCTGGATCCCGGTTCTCCTATACCACTTTCAGAGTTCTGCACCTCCATCTGTTTCTTGATGCTGCTTTCTTCTGTGCAGACTTTATTCTCAAGCAGGACTTACTCATGCATTTTGAAAGATAACAAAAGTAGTATCAAGTTTAAGTGACTCACAAAAATTGCCATGCACGATTTACTAGCTTGAGTACTTTGAAATGACTGTGATGAGTAGTAATGTTTAAACTAATAGTTGTGGAAAGAGAGGATACTGTGTTGATTCAAGCCAAGTCACTGATTTACACCTTCAACCAGAAAACCAGGTGATACTGTGATTTGCAGTCTCTTTCTCTCTTTCTCTCTCTCTCTCTCTCTCTCTCTATATATATATATATATATACATATATATATATATGTATATATATATATGTGTGTATATATATATATATATGTATATATGCATGGAGAAGAGGTAATTCATTAAAGTTGGGGAAACAGGGCAAATATCTTTCCCTTACAATGTTCCATAGTAAAAACCATTGAGATTATATCGGACCATTTGACAAAAATCTCCACCATAGTAGTGTCTTTCTATAGTTACCCATATTTTATGTAAGGTTAACACTGCCCGCTAAATGTGAAGCCTGCATATTTTATATTCTTAAGCATTTGGAACTTATCATGCATGTCTTTCTCTCCTCTCCTCTCCTCTCCTCTCCTATCCACTCTCCCCTCCCCTCCCCTCCCTTCCACTCCCCTCCTCTTCTTTTCTTTTCTTTTCTTTTTTCTTTTCTTTTCTTTTCTCTTTTCTTTTCTTGCTGTGTCGCCCAGGCTGGAGTGCAGTGGTGTGATCTCGGCTCACTGCAACCTCCACTTCCCGGGTTCAAACAATTCTCCTGCTTCAGGCTCCCAGGTAGCTGGGAAATACAGGTGCACGCTACCACGCCCAACTAATTTTCGTATTTTTAGTAGAGACGGGGTTTCGCTATGTTGGCCAGGATGGTCTCCAACTCTTGACCTCAGTTGATCTGCCCACCTCGACCTCCCAAACTGCTGGGATTATAGGCGTGAACCACCATGCCCAGCCCCCTTTTTTCATGCAGTAAATGGAAAATTGTTTGGATCTGTTCTTTCAGGTAGTAATGATCACATTGATGATACCCATAATATCATTCCACAAGAGCAGCCTCCATAAGTCTTGTGTTTACTTTCCAGATTTTCCTTTTCTTATTATAATATGTAGCTTAAGGCATGGAAAATCCACTTGTCTAGGTCAAAATCAATCTTCTACATATGGTTTCTGCAGTACTTGCTTCAAATTCTCTTCGATTAATAGGTAGTAAGTAGAGTATAACTCCCTATCCCTAAATCCCTGTAAGAGAAGGGGCTAATAATTTGCATTTTAACAAGTACCACTTTGTACTAAGCATCTGGAATGAAAGATAACAAAACCCAGATGATTAATGTACAGATTGCCTTTCCTCAACTTTTCACCATGTCGTTATGTTTACTCACCTGCATCCATTCATCTCTGTGTCCCCACGCATCCAGAGAACATCAGGCTCTTATAGCAGTTCAGTAAGATGTAGTTTCTTCCCTTAAGGAAAGAGAGACCAATAAGGAAATCAATGATTATAATGCAAAATATTAAGTGCTTGGATGGAAGAAGTAGAACAAAGGAGAAGGACCTAATCAAGCCAAAGGAAGAGCCACACAGTTTCTACAGAAGATACTGGGAGGCCACACACCATGAACCTCTTGTACTCCCACACATCTTTCTGCAAATGTCAAAACTGCAAGGTCTTGATGGTTCTTCAATTCAGGCCACTTCTCAGGATGGTTTACACAGTGGGAAATTCTGAAAATGATAAAACATATTGGAGGAATATACTATGAGATTCTACAAGGGACCTAGTCTTATTCTATACAGCTAACATGCTTTATATGTTTATTAAATGTGGAAAAAATTTAAAGATAACATCCAACAATACAAAAATATATGAACTGTGGGAAAGTGAATGATACTTCTCTGAATATAACTTTTGGAAGCATATTAATGTTTTTCACACTCAACAATAGCAGTTTTTTGAAAAAAATAATTACACTGGGTAAACATGCTAAATCCATTATAAAAGAATCAAATCATGTTTCAACTGAATGACAAACAACCTTGTTGAAGAGAAAGACAAAAAGTAAGTTTTGAACATAATATTTACAGAAATGTAAACAAATATTGAACTCTGCTTCATGGGTTTGCTTTTCACAGTAGTATAGGTTACTGCCATGGTTTGAATGATTGTGTCCCTGCAAAATTCATGTTGAAACCTAATCTCCATTGTGGCGATATTAAGAGGTGGGGCTCTTAGGGAAGTCTGTAAGTCATAAACACTCTGCTGTCACAAGTGGAATTAATGCCATTATAGGAGAGGCTTCAGAGAGCTGCCTGGCTCTTACACTCACATCTTCTGCTAAGTGAGGACACAGCATTTATCCCTATTGCCCACCTGCCCTTCCACCATGTGAGAATGCTGCAAGAGGCACCATCTACGCAGCAAAGACAGAGCTTTCACCAGACACAGAATCTGCGAGCACCTGGATCTTGGACTTCCCAGCCTCTGGAACTGTGATAAGTAAATTCCTTTTATGTATAAATTACCCAATCTATGCCATGTTGTGATAGCAACTCAAAGGGAAAAAGAAGGTACAAATTCTGATACCACTTTATATATATTCTAAAATTAAACAAATTAGTAAATATATCGTAGATGTCTGCAACTTTCAAATTATTCAGTATAAAAATCATAATTATGTGTATGCATGTGTGTATTATATGTGCATGTATGTGTGTATTCAGAATAAAAATTATAATTGTGTGTGTGCATGCATATGGGTATTAGAAGGGCAAATACAAATTTATTTAAAAAGACATGATTTTCCTGGTTGAAATTAAAGGAAGATACTCCCTCCCTCCCTTTTCTTATGAGTATTTACTTTAGAAAATGTATAAGTTCCTTCAGTGTCTCTTTGAAATGTACATAAATCTTTTTAAAGGTAAATACACCTCTTGCCAGCTTTATGATCTAGGAATATCTTTCTCAAGGATCTGGAAAGCATTTTTTAAAAAAGTAATCATCAAGAAAGATAGTGTTTTTATCTCCTAATTTCTGCGGTAGAGTAGGAACCTAACTTTAGTGGTCCCTTCCCTCCCAGTTGTAAAATTATCTCTTATATGGGAAGTTTATTTTTTCTTTGGGTAATGCTAATTAGTTAACACAGATAGTCACCCCAATTACTAAGTGAATTTAGGATGAATTGTATGCAACAATCAGTGCTGTCAAGCTCTTGTTTGAAGACTAGGTATTGTTTACCTTGGGAACAAGTAAGCAATGAATTGTGTCTGCTTGGGTACATAAAAGGGTGGGATTTCTTTCAGTCTAGGCAGTCTTTTAGTAGATTGCTGTGATGCACAGCATATTCTAGTTAAACACTTATTCAACAATACAGTTGTTTTCTTTCTTTTAAAGAAAAATGTGGATGATTATCTATGTTACTGGTCCCTCTCTGTGGCACACCCTACTGTGTATCCAGGTTCCTTCTGACCATTCACATCAACCTGTGGGAATTGGAGCTTGAGTAATCAGCATGAATAGACAGCCGTTAGGAAGATTGTTTTATTGGACAAAACCAGATTGCATCAATTGGTGTTATTAATACATATGTTTAAAAATGGTTGTGAGAAAGCAGGTGCAATGAGTGAGGTAAAAACTCCCTTAGTAAAGCAGAAACAATGAGAGAGAGAAAGAATGAGAAAGTCAGATTTTCTTGACTTACATCATGTTCCAATGTAAACTTGGAACGGTACGGTGTCAGTTACTAGACACTAGACCTACAATCAACGCTTGGTTCTACTAGAGACTGTTATCTGTGATGCATTCTGTATGATGAATCAAGGACACTTGGTTAGGCAGAACAATAAGATCAAGTTGTTATAACACTGCGAATCACACCAGATAACCTTATTTTATCTTTCTTATTTTATTTTATTGTACTTTAAGTTCTATGATACATGTGCTGAACGTGCAGGTTTGTTAAATAGGTATACATGTGCCATGGTGGTTTGCTGCACCTATCAACCCATCATCTAGGGTTTTTGCTGTTGTTGTTGTTTTTGTTTGTTTGTTTTTGGTTTTTTTGTTTGTTTGTTTGTTTTTGAGATGGAGTCTCGCTCTGTCACCAGGCTAGAGTGCAGTGGCACGATCTTAGCTCACTGCAACCTCTGATTCCCTGGTTCAAGCAATTCTCCTGCCTCCACCTCCCAAGTAGCTGGGATTATAGGCATGTGCCACCACTCCCAGCTAATTTTTGTATTTTTAGTAGAGACAGGGTATCACCATGTTGGCTAGGATGGTCTCGATCTCCTGACCTCAGCCTCCCAAAGTGCTGGGATTACAGGCGTGAGCCACTGGGCCTGGCCCCATCATCTAGGTTTTAAGCCCCACATGCATTAGATATTTGTCGTAATGCTCTCCCTCACCTTTCTCCCCACCCCACAACAAACCGCGGTGTGTGATGTTCCCCTCCCTGTGTCCATGTGTTCTCATTGTTCAACTCCCACTTATGAGTGAGAACGTGTGGTGTTTATTTTTCTGCTCCTGTGTTAGTTTGCTGAGGATGATGGTTTCCAGCTTCATCCATGTCTCTGCAAAAGGATATAAACACATTCTTTTTTTAATGGCTGGGTAGTATTCCATGGTGTATATGTACCACATTTTCTTTTTCTTCATCCAGTCTAAAGCTGATGGGTATTTTGGTTGGTTCCAAATCATTGCTATTGTAAATAGTGCTGCAATAAACATAACCTTATTTTAAATTTTGGCTTCAGCTGTATGCAGTTACCTCATGCAGTCCTGACATGTAAGCACTTTACAGAAGAGAAAACAATAGGAAAAGTAAGTAACTGAATGAAGTCCAGCATATCTCGTACTGTGCTTGCTCCATAAATAATATTAATATTTTATTATGTAGCTAATTAGTACAATAAAGCAGAAAATGATATTGATGATTATATAATTACGTATGTAAGAAACAGTACAGACACTAGCAAAATATTGCTAAACCGCTTAAGGTTTCCATAAGATGGTGATATAAAAAATACGTATGTTTTAGATTAGGAAGCAAACTCAGAAATGCTAAGTGGCTTGCCTAAGATTATATACAAATGATGGATGAAGTTGGATTTAAATTCGAATCTGTTTCAGTAAAAGACAATGTCTTAATGGCATTTCATATATCCATATTGGACTCTGTCACCATTTATGTGTCATGGGGGTTCATGTGTTCTATGCAGCCTGGATGGAGTCCCTCCTCCTTTTCAAGTGGTTAACCAGAATGGCCTTGATGTATTTGATTGCCATATGGAATTGTCCTTTTATTAAAGTATAATTTTGCTCTTTAAATAAGATGAATGTACTTTCTAATCTCACAAATATATCTGTGAAAGACACAGATAGCCGTGACATCTGTTATTAATTTGTAATGTTAGGGCTTAGAAGGTTTTAGAATACATGAAGTTTGATGAGAGGTGTTTATATGAGGAAGCTGAGAATAAGTAGAGTTGACCCTGGGTGTCCACAAGAGATTGGATCTAGGACTCCTGCAGATATCAAAACCTATGGATCCTCAAGTCCCTTATATAAAATGGCATATTATTTGCATATCATATATACATATCTTCCTGAATACTTTAAATCATCTCTAAATTATTTATAAATACCTAATGGAATATAAATGCTCTGTAAGTAGTTCTTATACTTTATTTTTCTTTGTATTATTTTTATTGTCATAGCTACTTTTATTTTTTTTTAATGTTTTTGGTCTGCATTTGGTTGATCCAATGGATGTGGAACTCACAGATAGCACTAGCTAGCTGTAGTTCATTTTTAAAAAATTACATTTAGAATCTAATATTTAATAAATAATTGATATATACCAGTCCCCAATAAAGTGTTGTACCCATTTTTTCTCACAATATTTTAAAAATACCTTCTGACTGGTTTATTTGAACATTATAACAACTATTTTACATATAATGCCAGCATTACACTATTACTAGTAGAAGGCCAAATGTTATGTTCAGTAATCACATGTGTGTACACACCTATGTACACACACATGCATGCTGATAAACATGAGAGTGCAGAAGAATATAGCATTCTGCTTTTTAACATAGATTTGAGATATGTCATGAGAAGGAAAGAGGATGGGAATTGTCTATCTAATATTCAACTGATCCTTATGTTCTCCGAAGACATGGGAAATTTGACATATACATTGGGCCACTCTCCATGGCCTCCATCAATGATTGATTATGAACAGAACTACATCTCTTTGAAACAAGATTTTAGTCCTCCACTTTCCACATCAGAACAATTTTTCTTCTATTTTTTTGATTCATCTTAGTTCCACTAACTGCAACACTGGTCGAATGGGCTGAATGTGTTAATAAAGAATTGATTCTTCTTATAATGCCCATCAGTGATAGACTGGATAAAGAAAATGTGGTACATATGCACCAAGAAATACTAAGCAGCCATAAAAAAGAATGAGATCATGTCCTTCTTAGGGACATGGGTGGAGTTACAGGCCATTATCCTTAACAAACTAACCCTGGAACAGAAAAGCAAATACTGCAGGTTCTCACTAATAAGTGGGAGCTCAAAGTTGAGGACACATGGACACTTAGAGAGGAAAAACACATGCTGGGGCCTATCAGAGCATGAAGGTTTGGAGAAGGGAGTGAATCAGGAAAAATAATAAATCAGTACTAGGCTTAATACCTGGGTGATTAAATAATCTGTACAACACACCCCTCATGACACACGTTTACCTATGTAACAAACCTGCACTTGTACCCCTGAACTTAAAATACGAGTTTTTTTAAGTATTTGATCAAAAAAAGAAAGAACTGATAAGACACTTGTTGAAACTTCAACAAAACAAATCTAGATCTTTCTAATCAGGGGTCATAATCACAGTTGTGCTGAGAAAGGTCACTAATAATACAACTCAAAGATAAGAACAACCCTTTTTTTTTGTTTGTATTACTCTAGCTTGTTATGTGTAACCCTGAAAATCGAGTGTGGATGATCGGGGTTGGGGGTGGAAATTGTTGTCTTCCTGAATGCATGTAAGGAATATTAAATTTTATGTATTTACATGTCTTGCTCCATATGTTGGATCTCAACCGTTCAGCCTTCCAGTTCCGGAAATACTCTTCACTCCTCTTTTCCTTTTTGTATGTCCCTGAAGGCTAACTTCAGTGCAGTGCATCACTGGGTTCTCCCATGCTCTAGATTGTGGTTGAGTTAGATCAGTGGGAGCTGTGGGAACAAATTCTGTATGAAAATGGAAGGTAATAGGAGAGTGGAGTTTTGTATTTATTCCCCAGATGGCTTTTCTGCTATAATACCTAAATTTGGCTATTTCCTTCTGCTGATGGCCATAACTTGAATGACCCTCTCCAATCTGCTTCTCTCAGCATTCTGATAATTATTCCCTCTGCCCGCTCCATCAAGCCTAGAGGAGATAGTATCTTTCCAATGTTACATGCTCTAAAGCATGGTACCATCCCTTATTTTTTTTCAAAATGCTACTTGGAGCCTTTAAAAATAGCCTCTTCTTATGTTCTTCTCATGTTATCTAATTTGAGTGTGCCATCTTTTTATATCAAGACCATGCCTGATAGACTCAAACTCATTGACACAAATACAAAATCCAAAAGTCCTTCTTGGGGAGATTGCAGTCTAATGATGGTGTAACTGCAAATGAATTTAATTTCCTGCTCTTTCTGCAGCAATTAGCCCAGTGCCAACCAGGCACCAATTACATGTTAAATACATACTGAATAAGTAAATGAATCATGAATGAGTAAATGGATTAATAAATTAATAAATAAATAGAATCATCATCTATATATTCCACTTCTATTAACGAAGGCACTGTTCTGCTGATATTTCTTGTAATTTATAAACCCAACTGCCTGTAAAATATAGGTCCTAGAAAATGTGCCTCCTAATCTATGCTGTTTTTACTACTTTTCCTTCCTAGTGGTTAAGGAACACATCCTTTTCATTGAGGCTTCTGAATAATTTGCTTTATTGTCTTCAGACACTTGTTGCAGATGAAAATCTTTCAATATAATTAAAATTAGGTTGCTTTCAATTACTGCTATAAACTTCCAACTGGATAATAAAAGTTTTTTTCTTTTTTTGATATTTGCATATTCTAGCAAGTAAAATTTGTTGTTGATGCTAGACTAATTATTTGTTATTATTAATATTCTTATAGTTGGCTACATGAATATGATTTTAGTATTGGTTTATAGGCCAAATTGAGATACAAAGTTATGTTATGATACTTCCTTAGGAATAAAATGTTATAACATATGGGTCTATGTACAAATATAACTCTTTCTGAAATAATACGTACAGTCATTTAAATACAATAAGCTATTAGGGTAAGAAAACTGCTGTGAGGCTCTACAATATAGCAGTTAAAGTAGGGAAGATCTGAATTTAGTATCTCCGCATGTGGCTACTTATATTTGTGTGACTTAATATCTCCTCACCCCAGATTTCATATGCATAAAATGGGAATAGTAGCAGCTGCTCCTAAGTTATTGTTGTAAAGGCTAAATGAGTGAAGTTACTAAGCTAACATTTATTGAGAAGTTTCCTAGTCATAAACACTGTATCATCATTAGTATTGTTGGCATTTTTGTCATTGTTTAAAATTAACAATGTCTGATGCCCTTCTTTGAATTTTTACTTTTGTTGACATTTGAAATCTGTAATTTTAATGTAGTGTTTTAAATCCATGAAAAAAGTTTGTACTAGTTTTGTCTCATCCATCGAATGGGGTGAGAATCCAGTATATTTAACAAAAATGCAGTAAGTTCTTTTTTCTTTTCTTTTTTTTTGAGACAAAATCTTGCTGTGTCACCCAGGCTGGGATTATAGGTGCCTGCAACCACACCTGGCTAATTTTTGTATTTTTAGTAGAGATGGAGTTTTACCATATTGGCCAGACTGCCCTTGAACTCCTGACCTCAAGTGATCTGCCTGCCTTGGCTTCCCAAGGTTCCAGGATGACAGACATGAGCCACTGTGCCCAGCAAACAAGAAGTTCTTAACTGAAAAAAAAAGGATCTGGTGAGAGCATTATAGTTAGTATCCTCAGCATTAAACACAGTGCTTGGAATGTGCAGTGTGTATAGTGTTTCAAACTATTAGAAATATGGTTTATATATTAATTAAATATCACTATAATAATTGTTGTGTAATATACCTTTTGTAAATTTTGTTTTGAATATTATAGACATAATCTTGCAATTCAGAAATATTTAATTTTAACATTTTAATTATTATATAAGAAGAAAGACAATTACCCTTCACAGTCTCATCCTATTTTTCACTATTAAATCTTCTAAGTTATGGCCGAGCGCGGGGGCTCACGCCTGTAATCCCAGCACTTTGGGAGGCCGAGGCGGGCGGATCACGAGGTCAGGAGATCGAGACCATCCTGGCTAACACGGTGAAAGCTCGTCTCCCCTAGAAATACAAAAAATTCTCCGGGCGTGGTGGGGCGCCTGTAGTCCCAGCCAGTCCGGAGGCTGAGGCAGAAGAATGGCGTGAGCCCGGGAGGCGGAGCTTGCAGTGAGCCGAGAAAAAAAACTTCTAAGTTATATAAAACCTACCTACTGTAATTACTCTGAGAGTTATATAAACAGAGGAAGAATCTGAGGTTCAAAGACATTGGATGACTTATACATGATAAGATACCTAGTAAATGGAATCAGACATTTAGCCCAAATAATTTAATTTATCAGGGTGTTTTTTAGACATCATTCTATACAAGTTTTTTTTTTTTAGGTTTTATATGTATGAAATCATCTTTATTTGTCAGTGCATCTAGATATATATTATTTTCATAGGCCATTTAGTGCACTATTGTTTAATGTACCATATTTTGTTTAAATAGTAGAAAACTTAAAAACAAACTAAATGTTCAATAGATAAAATTACAATGTTGCAATAAATATTCATATACATTTAGTGTCACAGATGGACAAATATGTCTATAAAATAGACATGTTTCTGCAGTATTGCTAATATAAATGTTGTGTGCATTTAAAACTTGGCAAATACTCCTCAACTGCTCTCTGAAAAGGTTGTGTAAAGATGTATTATCAGCAATGATATATTAGTATTTATATTTCAGCTTGTCTGCTTTAATAGTAGGTATTAAATTACCATTTTCTAAGTGTTAGTTGGTCTTATTTGTATTCATAAATTTATTTAAAAATCCCATTGAAATACTGATTTAGTAATTTCATCAATATGGTATGGTTCACAACAGAAAAAAAGTCTTGTTATTTATCAGGAAAAATAAAATTTGAGGACTATTTTCAAATAAAAAAATTTGGAACTATTTCTTAGGAAGAAAATCTTTGAGAGCTTCCACTGACCTGTTTACAGTCTGTAATTTTTCTCACTAGTAGAGCAAGAAGCAAGCAAATATCACTTAAACACCTCTTTTCAAATAAAATAGCATAAAGTGGAAACAAATGAAGTTCCCTTTCAGACAGATGCAAGCTGTCCGCCCAGAATATGACCTTTCCTCTGAACTTTCTTCTCATGCTACCTCAGAGGGTGACATATGAAAGAATAAGGATTCTGAACAAGAGTGGTGGGGAGCAGGGGTCAGATTCACATATCTAAGCCAGAAAGACACCAGACAGCCTCTTTACAACTAGAAAATGCCAGCTTCTAGCCATACATTTAAATTGCAATTATGAAAAAAAAAACCTGGAAGCCACATTGATATCTAACTATGTCACAAAACTCCCTTATGCTTTATGCCAAAGATGTACCTTATGAAGTGTGGGGACAATTTATAAGTGAAGAGAGCAGTTGTCACACATTGATTTGCTGAGGAGTTGATCTGACTATATTGACACTTTGAATTATCTAAGACTGCCTGCTTAATTACATTATCTACCTAGATTTGAAAAAGAGGAAAAATGCATCTAATAAAATGGAATATCACCATCTGCTACAACCAGTTATGTTTCCTTTCTAATTTATTTTAAACTTCTCCAAATTTGGAAAGAAAAACATACAGATGTGCTTTAGGGTTATTTTGTTTGTTTGTTTGTTTTCCTTTGTCAGGGATGTAGAAAAATAAACAATTTCTGGTTGAGTGCAATGCTGCAAGACATTCCTCGTCAAACCAAGTAACATGTGAAAATGAAGACGGAAATCTGAGTTTTGTGCACTGGCTGTGGAGTAGGAAATAGAAAAATCAAAATTGGACACCTGTTGTGGGCTAATACTAGAGGAGTAGAAGCCAAAATGCCCTTTTATGTTGGACTGACTTTGACAGGTCTTGAATCTTACTTTGCCCTTCAACTCTCTTAGTGTCAGATTGAAACAATTTCAAGAACTGAAGTGTGGTAAGTAGCTGGGTCAAAGTCAAGAACAAGGGCCAAAATCAAGCACAGAGGGAAAATCCTACATTTTTCCACTTTATGAAACCAAACCACCAATGAGGCAAATGATCATAAGATAAGTTTAGAGCAACAGACCCGCCTTACTGATCTGACGTCCAGCACAGCTTCTTCAGCTTTAACATCTCTGATAAAACTGAAATCAGAGATTAAACTATTGTCAGATCCCAGCCACTTGGTATAAATACCTTGTCTGCTGGGTCTCCATCTCCTTTGTACTCTTCTTTTGCCTTCCCACGTGGTCTGACACACTGTTATAAAAGGCAGGAGTCCAAAGAGAGAAAAAGACACACATTGAAGCAATAAAAATATTGATGCTATTTTACTGTTTTTGAAGTTGCTATAAAGACATACATTGAAGCAATAAAAATATTGATGCTATTTTACTGTTTTTGTGAGGCACTGTGCTAAGTAGCTAACTATGACAATATGTTAACTCTGGGATAATCGCCCTTTTTAAAATCCAGCCCCAAATACCTATTCACTGTGTATCCATGGGCCAAATTCAGTTCTCTTTTTCTACAAAATGGAAATGTAAGTCTACTCCATTGGAAATCATTGTATGAACCTTAAAAGGTAATAACGCTACAAAAAGTTGATATAGAAGGAGCTTCCAATGTTCTAGGCAATGAGCTAAACTCTAAATTGGTGTTTTTAATTGTAATAATTACTTAGTGAGACAGATGTTATCATCTCTTATTTTATAAGAAATAGAAGTTCAAGGAGTTTCAAGTTACAATGAAAATAAATGGCTAGGCCGGGCGTGGTGGCTTACGCCTATAATCCCAGCCCTTTGGGAGGCCGAGGCGGGTGGATCACGAGCTCAGGAGATGGAGACCATCTTGGCTAACATGGTGAAACCCCATCTCTACTAAAAATACAAAATATTGGCCAGGTGTGGTGGCGGGCGCCTGTAGTCCCAGCTACTTGGGAGGCTGAGGCAGGAGAACGGCATGTACCCGGGAGGTGGAGCTTGCAGTGAGCCGAGCCGAGATCGCGCCACTGCACTCCAGCCTGGGCGACGGAGGAGGCTCCGTCTCATAAAAAAAAAAGAAAAAAAGATTAAGATGGCAAGGAAACCCAACCCAAACGTTAATCTGAAAACTGCAACCCTAATCTTGGACAATATGTTTATCAGCTCAACTTTCAGGATATTTCATTGACTGTGCAAACAATAATTATATGCATCTTTGGGATGGTAGTCCCTGGCCAATGTCTTGTTATTGCCATTGGACAAGAAGAGATGGAGAAAATATCATGCTCATTCTCAAAAACACTCTTCTTAAATTTTCTTTTTGCAAGTTTCAAAATATTGAATGTTTTCCATATTATCACTGATTATATTAATAGATATGTGGAAACAGAGTATTAATAGATAGATGGAAACAATGTAATGGCTTCATGTAGTATTAATGTACTAATGGATGTGCCAAGATATTATTGTCATTCAAGTCGATAGGGTATTTTGTCTTTAATGGCTTTGAGTGTTCATCTCCTTGAGAAGTTTTAAAATCTATGCTGGTGTTTTAATATAAGCCCTTCCTGTTGACTTGATATTTCACAATTAAAGGGAAACAGCTCTGTGACTAATGTGTTTAAAAGGTGGTGATCACTGTTTTGTTGAATATAATAAGTCACAAGTTTAAGGCATCTGTGTTTGCTGACTTGCAGTTGTCAAAGTCAATTAGTATTTAATTAGAGGGTATGTCTTGATCTGTGATTTGGAAATGCCTTAACTATGTTGGAGGAGTTGAGGAACTATAATTGTTGAAGTTAATAGTCTATTTTTACTTTTTAGGTGAAATAAGTATTGCAGAAGTTTTGGAAGAATGGAGAGGGACAAACACAGAAGCAGAGAAAGACAAAGACAAAAAGAGAGAAATAATTACTAAATTGGTTCAATGTGGTCTCATTTTGCAGTATCTATCAGCTAATCCTACAAGTATAAGAATGTTTCTCCAAGGCTGCCTTCTATCAAAATATGCCCATGGATTTATTTTGCTTGCATTGACTTTATCAGCCATATTGCATATTAATAATTATAAATATGTTGGATAAATCTAATGTAATATTAACCATAATAAATTGATGAATATATTTTCTCCCTTTCTCTCCATCTCTGTCTCTCTCTGCCTCTTTTTCTCTGTCTCTCTCTCTCTCTCAATTGAGTTCTGTCTTCAAGAAGAAATTATCTCTATTTCAGAAGGAAAAATCTGCACTTGAGCTTGTTTTATACACCAAAATTTCTGTTAAAAATTTATACAAGCACCATCTATGTTATTTTAGAATATTGATATCAAATATTTATACACAGCTTGAAATAATGTTTGGATAAACTAGATCCAAGTTTGATACATGTAAACTATAGAAAGTATCCAAAAAATGAAAGCCAAAACATGTTGGAAATAAGTCTCTCTAAACCATCTATAACTTGCTGTAAAACAATTTTCTATTACGGTTAACTTTCAATAATTCTCTCAAGAAACTAGCAAGTTTATAAAATATTGTGGGCTGAATATCTAATAGATGCATAACTATTAACATTATCTTTAGCATGTAACATGTTTTTTAACGGTAGTAGATATAAAATATTTTTCCCAAGTGGTAGCAGATGTTAAAAGTAGTGTTATTATCATCATAGATGCTTAAAACGCTCTCCATGAACCGTAGAAGCACCTACCTCTTCTTGCATTGCCAGTTCAGATCTATCTGCACTGTTGATCATTGTGATATTCTTTCCAACAATTTAAGCTTAACCAAAATATTTTAAGGTATAGCACTGTGTCCAAATCAAATTTTAGAGAATCTTAGTTTGGGGATGCTATAACAAAAATACCATACATTGGGTCACTTAAACAATAGACATTTATTTCTCACAGTTCTGGATGTTGGATCATTCAATACTAAGATATTGGTAGATTCAGTTCTTGGTTAGAGTCAGCTTCCTGGCTTATAGATGGCCAGGTTCTCACTTGATCCTCACATGGAAGAAAGGAAGCTCTGGTATTTCTCCATCTTCTTTTAAGAGTACTAATCTCATCATGGGGGCTTCACCTTCATCATCTCAACTGAGCCTAATTATCTCCCAAAGGCTTCATCTCCTAATACCATTGCACTGGCATTTAGAACTTCAACATATGGATTTCAAAGGGAAACATTTAATTCATCAACAGAAATATTAATATTTGGTACTTCCTTGTATTCTTGTATTCAATAGGTGTGTAATTTGCAACAATGGGGAATGGAGGAGTTTAATATATTAAATGACACACAACAATTGAGTCTCTGGACTCAGGATTTTGTTCAAAGTAGCAAGTAATCAGACTTCCCATTGGGGTTGAGGAAGAGAACTTCTGTGTCTTTGTCTGATATAGACAGACATTTGGCAAGGGCTTCATGTTATCAGGAACAGTTTCAAAAGTAGATGGCTATACTAGACATCTGGTCTAATAATTGGAAATTCTTGGGTGTCACAATATGACAAGTCATTCAATTATCAATATCTGATTGTTGAATGGCACTTAGTTAGGTTCTAGGGACACAGAGATAGATACTTAAAAGTATGCTTCTGGAGACCTAAAACTCTGGTTGAGGAAATAAATGAGAAAACCAACAATTTGTAAACACTGCTGCCACCAAGTTAATAGTAAATTAAGAGCAAACACTCTAAAAGTATGCTTTAGATTATAAAGAAAATAAGTTTTTACTATCTTCATGCTTACTTG
This sequence comes from Homo sapiens, assembly GCF_000001405.40. NCBI lineage: Eukaryota > Metazoa > Chordata > Mammalia > Primates > Hominidae > Homo > Homo sapiens. Next base: position 61,485,940 of record NC_000016.10, on the reverse strand, counting down.
CCTTAACCATGAGCAATGAAACAGTCAGGAGAGATAATTTACACTAGATCAACAGAGAGTATGTAATATTCAATCCTCTCTACAAAGGAATTAGAAAGGTAGAAAGGATAAAATGAATCGATGAGACAACCAAGAGAGTAATACCAACAGGAAGCCACTATTATCTTTTCAGCTTGTGGGGACAAAAAGAGAAGGTGAAGTGACCAGAGTTGAGTAGCAGAAGACATTTGGTGTCAATGGGACAATGGAGAAAGGGGCTGGTCTGTAGGCAATTGAAGGATTGCAGCCACTTCTGAAGGATATTCTACTCAGTACAGAGGAAGAGAGGAGCTGTGCAGGCTTTTTGCCTTGCTTAACACTCCAAACTCCTGCCAGTGCCTTCCACTGTGCAGAACTAATTGGAAATCAATTGACAAGGGCATCTAGAAAATGTAGTTCTCAAGGCACCCTCTCCCAACACCCCAGGACAGAAAGTGCAAGACAGGTATCAGAGAGCAAATATAAAAAATGACTATGACTTGTGCAAGTAAATTATTTTAGATTTTGAATTATGCTAAAAGTCATCCAATGGCTTTTCATGACATTTACACTAAAATATAAACCCCTTACCTTGACCAAAAACAATTCTATGTATTTCATGTTGCATATATTTCCCCAGTATCTTTTCAGTACTCTTCCCTACACTTACTGGGGTTCAGACTTTATTCTCCTGTTAACTGATTTTGCTCAAGACCTATTAGCTCTTCCTTCCTCCTGGAATGGAATTTTCCCTAACACTGCTTTGTTGATGTCTTCTTGTCATTAAGATCTTGGTTTAAATTATATCCCCTATAGAATTCTTCCTGGGCCACCTGGTCTAGAGTAGGCCCCTATTCACTCAGTCACTCTTTGTCACTTCAACATATTTCAATTATATGAATAGCTCTTTTACCATTTGACATCAAACGCCTAATTATAAAGTGATATTTTAAAAATGTAAAAACAAGAAAGCCTGTCTGTTCCTAATAAAATGTAAATTCCAAGCAGGCAGGGACCTCACTTTTCTTAGTATGAAAAGAATGTCTCTCCCATAGTTGCTCCTCAAAATCTATTTTTAAATAACTGAAAGAATCAGTGCGGCTATGAGAAATATCAACCTTGCTTTGCAGATGAAGAAATTGATGTACAGAGAATTTAAATACAATGAAATATGCAGACTTGTATAGTAGGTACTTTTTAAGCGCGGATCCTAAAATAAAGAATTACGCAGTCAGAAGAAATTTTATTCGCTCTTCATGCCAAGAAAAAAGAGAAAAATAGATACATATGTATAAATCTGTCATGCTTTCCAGAGGGATTGTGGAGAAACACATCTTTAAGGACTTGAAAAATCCCTCAATAAAAATATATTATATAAGAGTACTTCAGAGGAGGATTCTATTATTTAATTATAGATTTATTAATCAGAGACACTTATTTGATTCATTTTATTGTTAAGATTTACTAGAATCATGCTGATCATTATGCTTTATTCATGATAGGGATTTATTTATTTATGTTGGGTATTTATATTGTAAGTGGATGTGCAGCATGATGCATGGTTACTTTTGAATATTTACCTGCTGCCAGGTTGAAAAAGTTCTTGTAGTTCTTTGGATATGGAATCCCATTATTCTTTTACATTGCCACTTTTTATCTTTGGCTTTCCTTCTTTCACAAGTCTCCTCAGTGTTTTACACAGGAAAGATCTGTATTCATTTGATTTTTGAATGAAAGTGCATATTCTTTTCATTTGACAAGAAATATTTATACTTTCATATTAGAGATTACAGGTAACATGATAGAACACTGCTGTTAAAAATTAGGACTCTGCAAGATTGCACCACTGCACTCCAGCCTGGGTGACAGAGCGAGACCCTCTGTCAAAGAAGAAAAAAAAAGAGATAGGGCTGTGGCATCAGATGAACTGAGTTAGAAATCTAGCTTTTAGCCTTCTTAGAATTACAGCTTTGGGAACTGTACATAGACTCTCTAAGTTTAATTTTCTCATCTCTACTTTTGTTTTAGTGCTGATGTGAGGATTAACCGAGAAAAAGGTATTTAAAACTCTTCAGAGAACCTGTCACTTAACAACAAAAACCATAACAGCAACAACAAAAATAACTATACTATCTTGCTTTTTAATTTTGCTAAAAAACACATATCTACCTGCCTAACAAATTTTTAAGTGTACATTGGAGTATACATTAGAGTATTGTTTTATTAAGTGCAAGGCTATACAGAATACCCCCAGAACATTTTCATCCTTCAGACTGAATTTTTCTGTATCTTGGACAGCAACCCCCCATTTTTTCCTCCCCTCAACCCTTGGCAACCAACATTATGCTTTCTGTTTCAATGAGTCTGACTACTTTAGATACTTTATGTAAATGAAATTACACAGTATTTGTCCTTCTGTGACTATCTTTTCTCACTTAGCCTAATGTCCTCAAGATGCATCCATGCTGTGGCGTCTAACAGGATTTCCTTCATTATACAGGCTGAATGATATCTTATTTTTTCTTAATCTATCTAAAAGTTTGTCAATTTTGTTGATCTTTGAAAACAACTTAGCTTCTTTGATATGTTCTATTGTTTTTCTGTTCTCTATTTTGTTTATATCTGCTCTAATTTTATTTCCTTCTTTCTGATAACTTTGGGCTTAAGTTGTTCTTTGCTTATTTTTTTGGAATGCAACGTAATTTCTTTTTCAAAAAAATTATACTTTAAGTTCCGGGGTACATATGCAGAACGTGGAGGTTTGTTATATAGGTATACACGTGCCATGGTGGTTTGCTGCACCCATCAACCCGTCACCTACATTAGGTTTTTCTCTAATGCTATCCTTCCCCTAGCCCCCCATTCCCCGACAGGCCCCGGTGTGTGATTTCCCCTCCCTGTGTCCATGTGTTCTCATTGTTCAACTCCCACTTATGAGTGAGAACATGCAGTGTTCAGTTTTCTGTTCTTGTGTTAATTTGCTGAGAATAATGGTTTCCAGGTTTGTCCATGTCCCTGCAAAGGGCATGAACTCATCTTTTTTTATGGCTGCAGAGTATTCCATGATGTATATGTGCCACATTTTCTTTATCCAGTCTATCACTGATGGGCATTTGGGTTGGTTCCGAGTCTTTGCCATTGTTAATAATGCTGCAATAAACATACGTGTGGATGTATCTTTATAGTAGAATGATTTATAATCCTTTGGGTATATTCCCAGTAATGGGATTGCTGGGTCAAATGGCATTTCTGGTTATAGATCCTTGAGGAATCACCACACTGTCTTCCACAATAGTTGAACTAATTTATACACCCACCAAGAGTGTAAAAGCATTCCTAATTCTCCACATCCTCTCCAGCATCTGTTGTTTCCCGACTTTTTAATGATCATAGTTCTAACTGGCGTGCGATGGTATTGTGGTTTTCATTTGCATTTCTCTAATGACCAGTGATGATGAGGTTTTTATCGTACGTTTGTTTTCTAGTTCCTTGAGATGTAAAGTTTGGTTATTTCAGTTTTTCAAAAATATAAGTAAAAATTTTCTCACTGTAAAATTCCCCCTCAGTTATAATTTTGCCTCATGCCTGAAGTTTTAATATGTTGTGTGTTTATTTTCATTGGTCTCAAGATAGTTTCTAATTTCTAAACTCTCTTTTCATTTCTATTACCGAGTGGCTGTTCAAGAGTGCATTGTTTAATTTCCACATGTTTGTTAATTTTTCAGATTTCCTTCTGTCATTAATTTCTATTTTCATGCCATTGCATTTGAAAAATGTAAAGGTTGTGATTTCAACTTTCTTAAATTTCTTAAGATTTGTTGTGTGACCTAACATGCAAAGACTATTCAATGTGCACTTGAGAAGAAAGTGTATTCTGCTGCTGTTGGGTAGAATGTTCTACATTTGTCTGTTAGGTCTATTTGGTCTAGAGTGTTGTCCAAAGATTCTATTTCCTTATTATTGATCTTCTTTTTTGATGTTCTATCTTGCATTTTATTTAGTCTTCATTTGAATTTTTTTTTTACACTGAGCCATGAAAATTTTTGTGGAGATAAGCAATACTGTCTGATGACTAACCCAAGGAGCTTTCTACAGATTGGGAATGATGACTCCCTGCCACTAGCAAGAAGGATTACAATGTCCCACATTTTTCCCCACTTCACCTAAGTGAGAGAGGTCATACCTGAATGTAACTTTGCATGGGATAGCAAAGGATTTCAAACGTTAGTAGCTGCTCATTTCTTATGCTTGCCTACAGGGCTAACATCTATTCTCAGACTGGTTGATGTCCAAGCTAAAAGTATTTCTTGTTGAATAATGTTTTTCTCACTGTTTGTTCATAATAAAAAAGACCAGCAATTGGGCATAATTCTCTGCTAGATCCCAGCCCAACAGTCCTTCCAGCAGCAGCCTGACATAGGTCTGATTCTCTAAGAATAGAGAGAATGTAGGGCCACTGCCCCTTCTATTCCATCGCCAATGAGTCCCAGACTTAACCAAGAAACACAGACTTATTTTTTTTTAATGTAAAGAACTTGGAGTAAAGATGAAAATATAAAATAATCCACTTTTCTGAGAAATGTTTCAAACAAATATATTAAAATTTTTGGGTTTAGTATGTTTTTATTATTCAAAAGTGCCTTACAATAAGGAGTATCTATTAACAAGAAATAATAATCATGCTTTTATTTATCATCTCTTCTTAATTTATTTGCATTTTAGCTAACGGCACAATAGAAATCTTTGTACATAACTTTTGTAACCTTTTCAAGTTGGTCTAGGAATATGAATGGTCTGAAGGTTTTTTTCTTTATTTCACATAATTTTATTGTAAATTTTTATACTAAGGAAATGTAGAACCCTTCTGCAAAGCGATTTAACTTCATTTCCCCTTGTAGAGCTAGTATATTACTATATCTATGTTCCTGGAATTTCACCAGCATGAAAAAGAGAGATATGGTATCATTGTAATACGAATTAACATTTTCTTATGCCCTTTAGAAAATGAGTCCTTTTATTTATTGCACTTTAAAAATAATGTTTGCTATATGGTTAAAAATAGTAAATAATTTGGAAAGATAGATAAATATATCAGGAGAAAAATATGAATTATTCATAATAGAATTTTTAGAGATTAATTCTGTTAACAGTTTAATACATTTCATCTCAGTTTATGTGCATTTTATTATAAAGTATTGCACAATTAAATTTATTTCTATATTTATAAAATATTTTTTAATGTGTGTGAAAATATGTTTTAAATTTTATCTGATGTAATAATTGTACATATTTATGGGGTATAATGTGACATTTCCATACATGTATGCATTGTGTAATGATCAAATCAGAATAATTGGGATATCCATTACATCAAACATTTATCATTACTTTGTAGTGAAAACATTCAAAATCCTCTCTTCTACCTATTTTGACATATTCGATGCATCATTGTTAATTATAGTCACCCTATTGTGCAATAAGACACCTGGAACTTATTCCTCCTATGTAATTGTAACTTTATATGTGTTGGGCAATCTATCAATCTATTCCCATTTCTTCCTTTCTGTGCCCCTCCCCACTCTCTGGTAATTATTGTTCTATTCTCTACTTCTTTGAGGTCCACTTTTTAGAATCCAAATATGAGTAAAAAAGACATTTTCATTTTTGTGTTTGGCTTATTTCACTTAAGGTCTTCCAGGCTCATCCATATTGTCACAAATGACAAAATTTCATTATTTTTCATGGATTAATAGTATTCCATTATGTATATATACTACATTTTCTTTATCTGTTCATCCATTAGTAGACACTTAGGTTGATTCCATATTTGGCTATTGTGAATAGTCCTTGATTAAACATGGAAGTGCAGATATCTCTTCCACATACTGATTTCATTTTCTTTGGATATTTACTCAGTAGTGGCATTGATAGAAAATATGGTGGCACTATTTTAATTTTTCAAGGAACTTTTATACTATTTTTCATAATGACTGTACTAATTTACATTTCCAACAACAGGATGTAAAGGTTCCTTTTTCTTTACATCTTCACCAACACTTCTCACCTTTTTTCTTTTTGATAATAGCCATTCTAACTGGACTAAGGTAATATCTCATAGTGGGTTTGATTTGTATTTCCCTAACGATTAGTGATGTTGGGCTTTTTTTTATATATCTGTTTGCCGTATGTATGTCTTCTTTTGAGACACATTTATTGAGGTGATTTGACATTTTTCATTTTTTCATTGGATTTTTTTTTAATGTTGCTCTTGAATTCTCAGTGTTTCTTATTTATTCTGGGAATTAATCCCTTGGCAGATGTACAATTTGTAAAAATTTTCTCCTATTCTGTGGGTTGTCTTTTCCCTCTGTTGATTTTTTCTTTTGCTAAAATATGCTTTTTAACTTGATGTCATTCTGTCTATTTTAGTTTTAGTTGCCTGTGCTTTTGAAGTCATATCCAAAAAGTTATTACCCTTTCTAATGTCAAGAATTTTCCCCAAGTTTTCTTCTAGTAATTTCATAGCTTTAGGTCTTATATTTATCTTTTAATACATTTTGAGTTTATTTTTATACATTGTGAAAGGGATATTTGATTCTTCTGCATGTGGACCACCAGTTTTCTCAGCACTGTTTATTGAAGAGACTGTCCTTTCCTTAATGTGTGTTATTGGCAAGTTTTCCAAAAATCAGTCAGCTGTAAATATGTGGATTTATTTCTGGGCTTTCAATTCTGTTTCATTGGTCTATGTGTCCGTTTTTATGCCAATGCCATGGCATTTTTGTTACTATAGCTTTGTAGTATATTTTGAAGTTGGGTAATGTGATGCCTCCATTTTTTTTTCCCAAGTTTTTTTTTTGCTATTTCAGTTCTTTTGTGGCCTTATACAAATTTTAGATTTTTTTTTAATTTCTGAGAAGATTGACATTTGTATTTTCATAGGGATTGCATTGAATCTGTATGTCTCTTTGGGCAGTAGGACATTTAAACAATATTCACTCTTCTAATTCATGGACGTGTGATATCGTCCATTTATTTGTGTCCTCTTCAATTTCTTTCATCGCTGTTTTATAGTTTTCAAAAAAGATATCTCTTACCTCCTTGGTTAAATTTATTCCTAGGTATTTTTTTTTGTGTGTATAGCTATAGTAAATAGAATTATTTCCTTGATCTATTTTTCAGTTAGTTCACTATTAGCATATGGAAATGCTCCTGATTTTTATATGTTGTCTTCGTGGTCCTACAACTTTACTTAATTTGTTTATTAGTTCTAATATTTTCGTGAAATCTTTATGGTTTTCTGTGTGTAGGATTATGTCATCTGCAAACAGGGATAGTTTGACTTTCTCCTTTCCAAGTTGGATACCTTTTATTTTGAATAGAAGTGGTGAAAGGAGGCACCCTTGTCTTACTCTAGACCTTAGGGTGAAAGTTTTCAAATTTTCCCCATTCAATATCGTATTAGCTATGGGTTTTTCATATACGGATTTTATTGTGTTGATGTACGTACCTTCTATACTTAATTTGTTGAGAGTTTTTCTCATAAAAAGATATTGTGTTTTCTCAAATGCCTTTCTTGCATCCATATAAATGATCATATTCTTTTTGTACTTAATTCTGTTAATGTAATATATTACAGGTGTTGATTTGCATACAGTCAGTCTTTTATATTTATGAGTTCCACATCCATGGATACAACCAATTGTGAATAAAAAATATTTTTAAAATTATGTATATACTAAACATGTACAGACTTAATTTTTCCTGTCATTATTCCCTAAACAATACAGCATAACAACTATTTACATAGCATTTACATTGTATCAGATATTATAAGTAACCTAGAGATGATTTAAAGTATATGAGAGAAAGTGCATAAGTTATATACAAATACTATGCCATTTTGTATCAGGGCTTAAGCATCTGCAAGTTTTAGTGTTCACAGGACGTTTTGAATCAATCTCCCACAGATACCAAGAGGTGACTCTATATTGTACATAGCCCACATGATGTACACAGCAGACACACACATTGATTTGTGTATGTGTACACAGTGCACACACATTTATGTGAATATATAAATCTCTGGCTGGAATTATTTCTTTATTTACAAAAATGTTTAAATTATTTTACTAAAACCCCATTAAAATTCTCATTTATTAAAAGAGTACTTAATAGAAGTAGATCTAAGTGTATGAACATTTTTAAAAAGTAACGACTTTGAAGCAAGAATTTTAAGCTTATTTAATGCATAGATGTGAAGTACTACAGATAACTTTTTGAAAACTATTGTCTCATTTGGTCCTTACAACAATAATACAGTTTTACAACTTTCATAATACATCTGATGACACAAAATTTTGGACAGGTTATAATAAAACTAAACTACTTAAACCCACATCCTTAACTCCAAATGCTAGACTCTCCATTGTATCCAGTTTTTTTGTAGAATGCAGTTCGCATAATGGCACAATGTGGAATTTCAGCAAAAGAGGTTGATGATTGGTAGAAGTAATGTGGATTTCAGAACAGTATTGGGGCAGAAAGATTGGAATTCAGAGTCGAGACCATTGCATATTAAGGTTGTGATGCAAGAACACTTGGAAATCAGAAAGACCGGCACTACAAAATTTACATTTGCAAAGCTTTAGTCAAACTTCAAGTTCTCTGACTCTTAGTTTTTAAGAGTTAGACTTGCTTGCCTCGTTGATTGATTTTGGTGAAAAAGGGGAAAGATGTTTCAAAATGGCAGCCTTCAAAATTCTCTTGAAAAATTAGAAGATTCGGAAACAAATTCTAGGTCTACTTACCTCATGGAAACAATTGGATACAGCCGATTCCATTATGTGGACCAAGACTGCCCTAGCTAAAACAGTATCCATGATTCACACCATTAATCCATATAAACATAAACCCAGTTCACTTTTCTTCTTCTCATGACCTTCTGGCTCCTGTAGACATCAGAGTTTGTGTTCCCTATGTTCAATCTCATTTCACTCATACCCTTCCATTCCTTCAGAGACCCAGGACAAATACCTTCACATTGTCATTGACTCTTTGCATAATCTCACTATTGCTATTGCTGATTCAATGCATGATCAAATCCTGCTGACTCTAACTACAAAATATAACTATGATCTAACCAATGCTCATTATGTCCTCTGGTTACCACTAGTCCAACTCATCATTATCTAAGGCCTGAGTTACTGCAAAAGTCTTCTAATTGGCCTACCTGCCTCCATACTGTCTCTCTTAGAATTTATTCTCAATACAGAAAACAGAGTAACACTTTTATTTTTATTTTTTTGTTTGTGACGACTGATTATTTTTTAATTATTTTTTAATTTTTATTTTTGTGGGTATACAATAGATGTATATATTTATGGGGTATACAAGATGTTTTGATACAAGTTTGCAACGTGAAATAAGCACATCATGGAGAATGGGGTGTCCATTCCCTCAAGCATTTATCTTTTGAGTTGCAAACAACCCAATTACACTCTTTTAGTTATTTTTAAATGTACAATTAAGTTATTATTGACTATAATCATCCTATTGTGTTATCAAATAATAGGTCTTATTCATTTTTTTTCTATTTTTTTTGTACCCATTAACCATCCCTACCTCCCTTCCTGGCCTCTGGTAATCATCCTTCTACTCTCTATGTTCGCGAGTTCAATTGTTTTAATTTCTAAACCCCACACATAAGTGAGAACATGTGATGTTTGCCTTTCTGTGTCTGGCTTATTTCGCTTAACAGAGTGATCTCCAGTTCCATCCATGTTGTTGCAAATGACATGATCTCATTCTTTTTTACAGCTGAATAGTACTCCATTGTATGTATATATATGTATACACACTACATTTTCTTTATCCATTCTTCTGTTGATGTATATTAAAGTTGCTCCCAAATCTTAGCTATTGTGAACAGTGCTGCAATAAACATGGAAGTGCAGATATGTCTTCAATATACTTTTTGGGTATAGATGCAGAAGAGGGATTGCTGGATCATATGGTAGCTCTATTTTCAGTTTTTTGAGGAACCTCAAACTGTCCTCCATAGTGGTTGTACTAATTTACATTCCCACTGACAGTGTAAGAGGGTTCCATTTTCTCTACATCCTCACCAACATTTGTTATTGTCTGTCTTTTGGATATAAGCAATTTTAACTGAGATGAGATGATATCTCATTATAGTTTTGATTTGCATATCTCTGATGATCAGTGATGTTGATCACATTTTCTGATTCCTGCTGGTCATTTGTATGTCTTCTTTCAGGAAATGTCTATTCAAATCTTTTGCCCAGTTTTTGAGTAGCTTATTAGATTTTTTCCTATACAGCTGTTTGAGCTCCTTATATATTATTACTAATCCCTTGTCAGATGGGAAGTTTGCAAATATTTTCTTCCATTCTGTGAGTTGTCTCTTCACTTTGCTGATTGTATCCTTTACTTTGCAGAAGTTTTTAAAATATATATTATACTTTAAGTTCTGGGATACTTGTGCAGAACATGCAGGTTTGTTACATAGTTATACATGTGCCATGGTGGTTTGCTGCACCTATCAACCCGTCATCTACATTAGTTATTTCTCCTAATGCTATCCCTCCCCTAGTCCCCCACCCCTAAGCAGGCCCCCATGTGTGATGTTCCCCTCCCTATGTCCATGTGTTCTCATTGTTCAACTCCCACTTTTGAGTGAGGACATGCAGTATTTGGTTTTCTGTTCTTGTGATAGTTTTTCAGAAGCTTTTTAACTTGATGTGATCCAATTTGTCCATTTTTACTTTTGTTGCCTGTGCTTGTGAGGTATTGCTGAAGAAACTTTTGCCCAGACTGATATCCTGAGGAGTTTTTGTGATGTTTTCTTGTAATAATTTCATAATTTGAGGGCTTAGATTTAAGTATTCAGTCCATTTTGATTTTCTTTTTGTATATAGCAAGGTATAGGGGGTCTAGATTCATTTTTCTGCATATGGATATCTGGTTTCCCCAGCACAACTTACTGAAAAGACTGCCTTTTCCCCAGTGTACATTCTTGGCATCTTTGTCAAAAACAAGTTCACTGTATGTGTGTGGATTTGTTTCTGGGTTCTCTATTCTGTTCCATTGGTCTATGTCTTTGTTTTCATGTCAGTACCATGCTGTTTTGGTTACTATAGCTCTATAGTATTATTTAAAGTCAAGTAATGTGATTCTTTCAATTTTGTTCTCTTTTCTTAAAATAGATGTGCCTATTCTGGGTCTTTTGAGGATTCATGTACATTTTAGGGTCTTTTTCTATTCCTGTGAAGAATGTCATTGGTATTTTGATAGGAATTGCATTGAAACTGTAGATTGCTTTGGGTAGAATGAACATTTTAACAATATTGGTTCTTCCTATCTATGAACATAGAATATTCTTCCATATTTTGTGTCCTCTTTAATTCCTTTCAGCAGCATTTTATAATTTTCATTATAGAGATATTTCACTTCTTTGGTTCATTTCTAAGTGTTTAATTTTATTTTTGGCTATTGTAAATGGGATTACTTTTTAACTTCTTTTTCAGATCCCTCACTGTTGACATATAGAAATGCTACTGATTTTTATTTGTTGCTTTTGTATCCAGCAACTTCAATGAATTTGTTTAACAATTCTGATAGTTTTCTTCTGGAGTGTAGGTTTTTCCAAGTACATGATCATATCATCTGCAAACAAGGATAAATTGATTTCCTCTTTTTCAATATGGATGCCTTTTATTTCTTTCTCTTATCTGATTTACTTAGCTAGGACTTCCAGTACTATGTTGAAAAGCACTGGTGAAAGTGGGCATCCTGGCCAGGCAAAGTGACTCATGCCTATAATCCCAGCACTTTGGGAGGCTAAGGCAGGCGTATCACTTGAGCTCAGGAGTTCAAGACCAGCCTGGGTAACACAAGGCTTGCAAATACTATCATGAGGATTGTGAATACTATTTTATAACCTATTATTTCAACCTTATAACTACTGACAACCACCCCATCTCTACCAAAAATATAAAAAATTAGCCAGGTGAGCATCTGTGGTCCCAGCTACTTGGGAGGCTGAGGAGGGAAGATTGCTTGAGCCCAGGAGGCAAAGGTTGCAGTAAGCCGAGTTGGTGCCACTGCACTACAGCCTGGGTGACAGAGAATCCTTCTAAAAAAAAATCCTTGTTGTGTTCCAGATCTTAGAGGAAAGGCTTTTGTTTTTTCCCCCATTTAATATAATACTAGCTGTGGTTCTGTTGTATATGGCTTTTATTATGTTGATATATGTTCATTCTATACACAGTTTACTAAGGGTTTTTATCATGAAGGGATATTACATTTTATTGTGTTTTTTTCAGCATCAATTGAAACAATCACACAGTTTTTATCCTTTATTCTGTTGACATTATGTATCACAGTGATTGATTTGCATATTTTGAAGGATCCTTGCATCCCAGGGTTGATAAATCTTACTTGGTCATGACAAAAGATCTTTCTAATATATTGCTGAATTCAGTTTGCTAGTATTTTGTTGAAGATTTTTGCATCAATATTCATTAGAGATAATGGTCTTTCGTTTTCTTTTTTTGATGTGTCTGTATGATTTTGTTGTCAAGGCAATACTGACTTCACAGAATGAGTACGGAAGTTTCCCCCCTCCTCTATTCTTCAGAGTAGTTTGAGTGGGATTGGTATTAACTTTCTTTAAATGTTTGGTAGAATTCAGCAGTGAAGCCATTGGGTCCTGGCCTTTTCTTTACTGCGAGACTTTTTGTTATGGCCTTGATCTCATCATTTGTTATTGTCTGTTCATGTGTTTTGAACTTCTTCCTGGTTCAATCTTAGTAGGTTTTATGTGTCTACAAATTTGTCCACTTCTTTCAGGTTTTCCAATATATTGGCATAAAGGTGTTTACAGTATCCTGTAATGATCCTTTGAATTGCTGGAGTATCACTTGTAATGTCTACTTTTTCATTTACAGTTTTATTTATTTGTATCTTCTCTCTTTTTCTTTGTCTGGCTGAAGGTTTGCCAACTGCGTTGAACTTTTCAAAAAACCAACTTTTTGTTTCATTGATCTTTTGTATTGTTTTCTTCATTCCTGTTTCATTTATTTCTGCTCTGATCTTTATTAATTTTCATAGTTATTTAAGATGCATCATTAGATTATTTATTCGAAGTTTTTTTCTGTTTTTGATGTAGACACTTACAGCTATGAACTTCCTTCTGAGTACTGCTTTTGCTGTATCCCGTAGTATAGTATGTTGTTTTTCCATTATTATTTGTTTCAAGACATTTTTCAATTTTCTCTTTAATTTTTTTATTTACTCACTGGTCATTGAAGAGCATATTGTTTAATTTCCATGTATTTGTATAGCTATTAAAATTCCTCTTGTTATTAATTTCTAGTTGTATTTCACTGTGGTCAGAGCAGATGCTTAATATTATTTCAGGCTGGGCGCGGTGGCTCACGTCTGTAATCCTAGCACTTTGGGAGGCTGAGGTGGGCGGATCATGAGCTCAGGAGATCGAGACCATCCTGGCTAACAAGGTGAAACCCCATCTCTACTAAAAAATACAAAAAAATTAGCCAGGCATGGTGGCAGGTGCTTGTAGTCCCAGCTACTCAGGAGGCTGAGGCAGGAGAATGGCATGAACCCGAGAGGCAGAGCTTGCAGTGAGCCGAGATTGCGCCACTGCACTCCAGCCTGGGCGACAGAGCGAGACTCCATCTAAAAAAGAAAAATATCATCAGGTGGCAAAGCCAGCCAAGTCTGTGTCCTGCCTTTCAGGGCAATGAGTTCCTCCAGGCCCTGGGTCAGTCCAGAGGTATTGTCTGGGAGTCACAGACCAGGGTAAAAAACCTTAGAAGTCTACCTGCTACCTGGCATTCTATTGTACTGTGGTTAAGCTGGCACTCATACAAGAAGACACAGTCTTTCCCACTCTTTCTTCACCTTTCCAAAGGCAGAGTGCCTCACCCCATGGCCACTGCCACCACAGGCCACAGGGTGTACTGCCAGACTATAGCTGATATTCCCTTAGGGCCTAAGATCTTTTCAGTCAGCTTGGGGTGAATGTTGCCTGGCCTGGGACTCACTTTTCAGGGCAATGGGTTGCCTTCTGGTCCAGGGCAGGTCTAGAGATGCTGTCCAAGAAGCAAGTTCTGGAATTGGGGACCCCAAGAGCCTTTTTGGTACTCTACCCACCTGTGGCTGTGCTGGTACCTAAGGTTCAAGACAAAGTCTCCTTTACTTTTTCCTCTGCTTCTCTCAAGCAGAAGAAGTTTTGCCCTGTAGCCACCCAGCTGGTATTGTGCGGAGTCTAACCTGAAGCCAGCAATTCTCAGAGGCTCATGCAAGGCCCTTGGTATAGTACCTTGATACTGCTGCTGGTTATTCCGGGCCCAAGGGCTCTTTAGTTAGCAGATTATGAATGGGTTCTTTCAAGACTGGGTCCTTTCCTTCAAAGCAGCTGGTTTCCCTTGGCCCAGAGTGTGTCAAGAAATGTCTGGTAGCAAGGGCCTAGAATAGGGAGGTTGGAGGGGAGTCTCTCTGCCCTGTGCTGCTGTGGCTAAGCTGGTATCCAAGACAGAAGAAAAAGTCTTCCCCACTCTTCCCTCCCCTCTCTTCAAGTGGAAAGAAGAGGTCTCTTCTGGAGTCCTGAGCTGTGCAGCCCGAATTAGAGAAGGGGTGATGTCAGCCCTTCCTTAGCTGCCTTAGCTGATGTCAGAGTAGGTCACATGTTCCACTCAGTCTGTCTCTGGGACCAGTTGGACTTGCCTCTAAGTTACAGTCCTTAGGGCCTAGAATGTCTTTTAAGTTTATTTAGAGCATAAAGCACTTAATCCCAACTTAGGTTCCAACTGCTGGGATTGGTGATTAACTTTCTGGCTACGGCTAGTTTAAATGCTACCTCCGTGCATGTGTATGAGCTGAGTTTCGTCTGGTTTTCCTTTCTGCTCTAATGGGGCAGCTGTGAGTTCAATGCCTCACAATTGCTGTGATCCCCCCTTCCCAGCACCCAGAAACACTCTCTGCATAGCACCACCACTGCCAGAGGATGGGGAAGGGATGGCTTTGGCGATCCAATACTGTTTTTTTCTAGCTCTTCCATGTTTCTTTCAATGAGATGAAGTTTAAACCAGTAACTATGACAGCTCGCCTGATTTCTGGTTCTTATGAAGGTATTTTTTTCTGTGTAGATAGTTGTTAAATTGGTGTCCTTGCAAGGGGGACAATTGGTGGAGCCTTCTATTCTGCCATCTTGCCCCCCACTCCCAGAGTAATACTTTTAAATTGTAAACCCTAGCATGTTAGTTATATATTCAAAACTCTCTAATGGGTGTTTATTTTGTCACAATAAAATCCAAAATTAACTACGAGATCAACCGGTTCTGTCCCCAGTTTCCTGGATAACCGCATTTCTTATGACACTGCATTAATGCTCTGTATTAATCTTATGGCTCTTCTCAGTAGTCTTCTTAGCATCCAGTGTGATTCTGACTCAGAAAACATGTGCTTGCTGTTTATACTTTTAAAAGAATTATTTCTTGCTCATATATTCACATATCGTATTTTGTCACTTTCTTAAGATTTCAGCTAAAATTTCATTTTACCAACCAGTTAAATAGCTTATGAAACATTTGTGTCATGGCACACTATGTATTTCTTGAAAAGAGTAAAGCATGTCTCTGTATAATCAAAGGGTAAAAAAGAGTGTATCGTTTTATATTATAACCTTTATTTATTCTGTAAAAAGGTGAAGTGACAAATTTTATTAGCTTGTACAGATATACAAATAACTCTGGAGAAATTCATCTTAAAATGCCAGTATTTTTATTATATTTCAGGAAAAGGGTAGGCATCAGACAGAGGGGCGTAATGGTGAGATAAAAGCTTTTGGCTTCATTAATTTTGAAAAATCAAACTATAATCAAATATCACCTCATCAAATATCTTTTATGTTCATCAGGAATAATGTACAATGTAATCATCTCAAATAATGTGAAATCCTGTAGGATTTGTTCAATGTGTACATTTTCTTTACAATATTGATTGTCAATTAACAGACAATGAACAAACATTAAAATAATTCTTACTCTTCACTTGTATGTGGGCTTTGGGAGGATTGAATCTTTGTCTATTTTGCTATCTGCCATATTTTTATGCCCCAAATAATGCTTAGAATATAATAAGCTGTATTATAAAAAATAATTGAATGAACAAATGGAGTATACTGATACTTCATTAGGTTATCATGAATATTAAATAAGCTAAATTGTGTGACACAAAACGTTTGATCAATAAATGTTAAAAAACTTACTCTTCCCCTTGTGAAGTACAAATACTTGAACTATCTTGTGATGACAAGCATAGTCATAAGTCCTAATAGTAGCAAAAAAAGGATTAGGCTGAACATATTCAATACATTTTCTGACTCATAGATATCGAGGTATAATAAGCCGGATAATTTCAAGTCAGGCGTATCTTCCAGGTCTCATCTTTGAATCTCTCTAATAAGTCATATTACTTTAATCACAAAAACGTTCTGCCCTGGACTACATGATATCTTGTTCTTTTGCCAAAAGTATTTCTATTTCTCAACCTATGAGTTGTATTTAAACTCTACCCTTTGCTTAGATTTGAAATTTAGGCCAGGATAGGAATGGAAGATTGTCTCCAAAGATGGCCAACCACAATCCCCCCATCCATACCTGGGCATGGCTCTCCTCCCTTCAAGAGATGAGTTTATGTCTGGCCTCAGAAATTGTTTGGTCAATAGAATGTGACCAAAGTAACATTGTGCCAGGTCTGGGATTAGGTCATAAGAACTGAGTTTTTGCTGTCTTGGAACCCAGGCACCATGTAAAGAAACTAAGGTTTCTCTACTGAATGATGAGAAGCCATGTGGAAACAGAAGTCACATAAACAAAAAGTCATGGCTCCCCAGCTGGCTACCAGCAACCATGTCCTAGACAAGTAAGTAAAGCCATCTCTAATGTCACAGCCCAGCAGAGCTCACCATTGAGTGAAGCCACATGAGTCATCCCAAATAGAGTGTCAGTTAGTGAAGGACTGCCCAGCTAAATCCAGCCAACCTATAGAATTGTAAGAAACAATAAAGCATCATTATTTAAAATCACTAAATATGGTTTATTACGCAGCAATATTTCACTTAACATAGTGGGGCTGTTTGCATTCTTAGGGTGCAGCTAGGTCAGAAGCTTTTTACACATGGAAGCATAGGCCCTGACTGCCATTTTCTTCATTTGAGCTCCTGTTTGTTGGGGGAAATAATCCTCAGATTTTGTATAATATAGAGAATATTTACCAAAATGCATTGTGGCAGTTCAACTGATATAATTCATGGTGTCATCTTCTCTTTTTCAAAATACACACTTTATTAAGCAGGTTTTATTTGACATCTGCATTATGAAAATTAAATGATTAAATCTGAATGACCTTTATTATTTTGCATGGAGCTGCTCTCATCAGCTTATCTCAGGTTTTCAAAAGGTCATCACCAGTTGTACTATGGGTTCAGTTAATAATGTATTAATATTTTCTTTGTAGGCCAAGAAATTATCCACAAATCAAAACACATAAACATTATAAAAATAGAATTTACAACTGTTTGAAACAACTCCAGTGGGATAGGCGTGCTATTTTATTTATTTATTTATTTATTGCTCAGCAGTAACTACATAAGATTAACGTAATGAGTATAAAATGCTACCTCTTTTGATGCACAAGCCATGTTGAACAATGTAGTATGGTGTGTGGTTGTGGTTAGGGTAGAAGCACTGGACTGAAGCTTAGGCAGCCTGGATTTGAGTGCAACTTCTAGCATTGATCGTATGACTGGAAACCAACCCCCGGGCCTTTTTGAGTTGAAGTTTCTTCTCTAGAAATGGAAATAAAACTCCTTTCCTAACTTGACAATTGTGTTGCTGTGAAAATCAATTGCAAGACTGTTCAAAATGTTTATGAACCGTAAAGTTCTTTACTCCAAAACTTTCTCAAACCCAATGAATACTTTCTGTCCAATTGAAGTTTCTCCAATCCATTTTAATCTTTTAAATAAAAATATTGTATGGGGCTGTGGGGGTGTATGTGTGGTGATGAGATCGAACAGAGCTGTGATTGAGCCCATCACTACCAATTACTAGTTCGCTGATTTTGGCTGTCACTCTTCTACTCTGAGTCAAGATGTTTTTCAACTGTAACACAGGGCAATCTTATGAGTGTGGTAGGATTTAACTGGTGTGAAGCATCATACAGGTTATTCTCCATTTCCCCTAAATACATACAGTCAATTCTCTGCCCTTCCTTTCACTACTCCATGTCCCAGCAGACTGACCTGTACAATTGCGTGGTATGTGCCTCCTGTGCCCTTTACTTCTTGTTGAGTCCAGTAATGGAAAGCACCTACAGGAGATGGTAGAGAAGGAGGAAAGGGAGGTCAGGTTATTTTTCACTGGCAGTGTTTGAGTTCATCTGAGGCTAAGACTCCTGAAGGACAGCTTCTATTCATCACTCTAGCTCGCATTGGCCTCCAATACCTGCAACCTTTGTTCTCCAGTCTCGGGGGTTAAAGACTTCTCACCATTATAGACGGGCGCGGTGGCTCACGCCTGTAATCCAGCACTTTGGGAGGCCGAGGCGGGCGGATCACAAGGTCAGGAGATCAAGACCACCCTGGCTAACACGGTGAAACTCCGTCTCCACTAAAAAATACAAAAAAAAATTAGCCGGGCACGGTGGCGGGCGCCTGTAGTCCCAGCTGCTCTGGAGGCTGAGGCAGGAGAATGGCGTGAACCCGGCAGACGGAGCTTGCCATGAGCCGAGATCGCGCCACTGCACTCCAGCCTGGGCGACAAAGCGAGACTCCGTCTCAAAACAAAAAACAAAACAAAAAAACGACTTCTCACCATGGCAGCCCCTTCATGTCTTACCATCCCTTGTTCGTTCCTCCAAATGTTTAAATTCCTTCAGTTTTTGTAAACAGTTCTTGCTTTATTTTTAGATAAACCCTTTTGAGTGTTCCATCTGTTTTCTTGACAGGACCTTTAAAGCTTCCAATCTTAGCCTAGTGCCTGTCACATATTATTCTCTAAAAGTGGTTAACATATATAATTATCATTGTAATAAATTTGGTTAAATAATTTTGTGACCCTACGAACCTGCCTTTGTATTTTTTTTAACATGTCTTTTGTTTACTTTTTGGGGACCCTCAGATATCTTAAATAATTTAGAAAAAGAAAAACCAAATTTGTGGAACACAACTGTGCAAGGAAGAAATCAAAGGAAAGTGTCTGTCTTCAAGGAAAAAGATGGAGATGTTGACTCTATGACATCCCAAACTATTGGTGCGAAAGATTTGTAAACACGTATTGCTTTTTTTAAAAATGCAGTATTAAAATAGTTTCATCAAAACCCAACTTCCCCATGCATCCATATAAACTCTAGATTGGGATCCGAGCAGACACATGTCATGAGCCTAACTCTGTCTACTCATACTCAGATCCAATGTGCATGTTTGGTGAGGATTACTACTCATGTTTCTCTTTGGCTCTATAGCTATATTAAAGTGCCTTAGAATTCTTTGCACTTTTTACAAAATTGCCCTAAATTATCCCGATGTTTCTTGAAAATACTGTCTTTCTAATGCCCCATATTCACTAGGCAGATATAAGATACATAGTACATAGGTGATGAAGTGATAGAAATCTGGTTATCCAGGTAAGGTGGTTTATTTTCTCTCTGAATATTTTAAAATGTATTTCAATTCAAATGGCTTCCTATCATAACTCTATTAAGAAAGAAATAAACCTCTTATCTCTGTTAAGTTTTTTTCCAGGCTACCATACTGCTGTTGCCATGGGTAATTCAGTCAATGTTTTCTTTAGAGGATATTATTTTTAGTATCTTCACTGCACACCCTACGCCCCAATCTTACCCCAAATGCCCCTTAAACATTATGCAAAACATTTTTATTTGACAACCCCTCCAGCCCATATCTTGGCTCTTTTCTTTTTGTTTGCATCTGAAATGGAGCAGACATCTTGTTTACCAGAGACTGTAGAAAAGTGAATTCACTTATTGATTGACATTATCAAGTAAGCAGACAGACACTGTAGCAGGTAAAATTGCTTTTTTTGTGTTATTGTCTGCCAAACTTTAACAGAAAAAGTGATGTGTTTTTCCCAGGCAGGGCTACTGTACAATCAGGTAATGGGTCTTAAAAACGCTGCTAACGTTGATGGTGTAAGATCAATAATATTACTACCACAGGTAAAATGCTATTACATATATTATTAAGACATTGCTCAAAATGGAGTGACTAAAAAGACTTTGAGAATGCATGAGTAATTGCTGTATCATTGGAACAATAAAATGCTAATGGAAGTTTCATCATACAACATACTGTGTGTATTTTTCTGCAAGATTTCAGAGTGGTTTTGCATTAATGCATGATACAGACCCCCAACTGCTCATCACAGTCTTATCTTCCTCCAAAATATGAGCTAATTCAGAAGGCAGAAAGTGCTATTATTTCTCTACTCATGCATTCATTTTTTTCCAAAATAGCTCATGAAATGAAAGCCAAACAACGTAAGTACTCCTTATCATTCTTTATTTGTCTAAAAATTTACCATATAAATTAAATAATGCTGATCTTGATACCTTCTTTTTATCAGGGCATAATATGAAATGTTAGTTCTAGATAGTATCGCCAATTGCCACAAAAATACCTTTATTTACTAATTGATTCCAAAGAGATATGATCACTTTTTTTCAGGGAGATTAGTAAAACATGAGCTAAACTACTTCAGTGTATTAAAAGAATGCGAAGAATGTAATTTAAAGGCTATTATTTAGATTAACTTGGTCCCTACATATTTTATTTAGAAAGCATAGATATATTGTTTATAGATTTAAGTAAAAAACTAGATAGATGGTTAGAGAGCTGGAAAGGTCTAAGGAAATATCCATGAATTCAAGTCATGTAGTTCTCTTTCTCTACCTCTTTATATATCTCCTTGTTCATTTTTCCTGCTTTAAATACTAACATTGGTTTTTTTTGGTCAATTAAAAATTTGTCTTATTTAAGGAAAAGGTAAAAGCAAAGAAGAAAAGAAAGAAGAAAAGAAGAAAGAAAGAGCAAAAAAGAAGAGGAAAAAAGGAAGAAAGAAAGAAAAAGATAAGGAAGAAGGAAGGGAAAGAGAAAGAAAGGAAAGGAAAGAAAGAAAGAAAAAGAGAAAGAGAGAAAGAAAAGAAAGAAAGAAAGAAAGAAAGAAAGAAAGAAAGAAAGAAAGAAAGAAAGAAAGAAAACAAAGCCAGACAAGCAGTTTACAATAAAGGGAAAAAATTCACTTAGCCATGAATATAGAAACATGGGCCAGATATGGGTGAGAGGGTCTTATGGGCATTCAGGGAGAATCTTTTCACCCTAACTTGTATTCAATTCTATTTCTAGCTCAAGCAACTTGAGCACAGTATTCCTGGTATCAATTTTAGCTTATGCAAAATACAGCTGTCTAATTGCTAACTGAGAGAAGAAAATACATTTTTTTCTTCAAATTTCTGATGATTTCTATTGGTTTCTAATCCTGTCACATCTTTATTTAAAAAGTGCATCCCTTTTGTCTTTCCTAATAACTGGATGAATTTGTTATTGAAATAGATTCCTATTATTTGAGTATTCTAAATTATGGAGCTTACAATACAAAATAATACACTGCTGGTTGGTAGAAATGGAAAATAATTTTTCATTTTTTTTGAAGGTCTCATTTTATTAAAGATCAATGAAGATGTGTGTCTGTTCTGACTAAAAGTCAGATAAAAGCATGAAAAGATGTATTACTCTTTGCAGCATGCATAGCCAGCTTCTTAATTTGATGGGGGTTCCTTCAGGACTTGGCTTCAGAATTGATGGGTTGCCCCGGGCAACCCAACCTTATGTAAGGTACACTTCAATCTTATGTAAGGTAAACTCGAGTAAATTACAGAAGGCCCAACCCAAAGAAGTGGAAACACATAGTGTCAGATGCAAAGAGGTAAACCAGATTACAAAGTTACCAGATTTGGGGACAGGAGAGTGAGAAATGATGGGTAAAGCCAGAGAGGGAGAAATGGTCAATCAATCTGTAAGTTAAAGTAGCCTGGGAGAAGAGATGACCAGCTGAAGTGACAACAGCTGTCAGGATGTCATATGCCCATTTATGTGAATTTTGTGGCTGCTGACGTAGATCATCCTTGGAGGCATTTAGAGATAGAGATGAGGATTAGGCACTCTATTCTCATGTCTGTTTGCATTTATATTTGTTTCTGTATTTATACACATGGTCTTAGTCCACATAAAATTCTTTCTGGAAATAGATAAAAAAAACACAACCAAAATGAGAATAATCTACGTAACTTAGTCATTAGCAAAGATGGAGGGAGAATTCACAAAATAGAAAAAAAAAACAGTTAAGAATGGTGGCTTGGATTTAGAAGCTATTACCTTGAACCCACTGGCTGGCAAAGCCAAAAGGAACACAAGGTGGTACACAAGGCTTTTGTCATAAAATAAAGGAAATAGATCAGTTCACCAAGACAAACTTTTACAATATGAATTATGTTAAAACATGGGTTAAGGGATGAAAAATATCTTATCAAACTGTATATGGTTAACAGTTCTAAAATACCTTGCATGAGTATTGGGATGTGCTCAATATATTAATAATTAATATTAATGATTTTTATGGTCTAGGTTCTTTGTGTAAACTGTTCCATTTAATTTTCTTTTTATTTATTATTATTATTATTATTATTATACTTTAAGTTTTAGGGTACATGTGCACAATGTGCAGGTTAGTTACATATGTATACATGTGCCATGGTGGTGCGGTGCACCCACCAACTCCTCATCTAACATTAGGCATATCTCCCAGTGCTATCCCTCCCCCCTCCCCCCACCCCATCACAGTCCCCAGAGTGTGATGTTCACCTTCCTGTGTCCATGTGTTCTCATTGTTCAATTCCCACCTATGAGTGAGAATATGCAGTGTTTGGTTTTTTGTTCTTGCGATAGTTTACTGAGAATGATGATTTCCAATTTCATCATGTCCCTACAAAGGACATGAACTCATCATTTTTTATAGCTGCATAGTATTCCATGGTTTATATGTGCCACATTTTCTTACTCCAGTCTATCATTGTTGGACATTTGGGTTGGTTCCAAGTCTTTGCTATTGTGAATAATGCCGCAATAAACATACGTGTGCATGTGTCTTTATAGCAGCATGATTTATAGTCCTTTGGGTATATACCCAGTAATGGGATGGCTGGGTCAAATGGTATTTCTAGTTCTAGATCTCTGAGGAATCGCCACACTGACTTCCACAATGGTTGAACTAGTTTAAAGTCCCACCAACAGTGTAAAAGTGTTCCTATTTCTCCACATCCTCTCCAGCACCTGTTCTTTCCTGACTTTTTAATGATTGCCATTCTAACTGGTGTGAGATGATATCTCATTGTGGTTTTGATTTGCATTTCTCTGATGGTCAGTGATGGTGAGCATTTTTTCATGTGTTTTTTGGCTGCATAAATGTCTTCTTTTGGGAAGTGTCTGTTCATGTCCTTTGCCCACTTTTTGATGGGGTTGTTTGTTTTTGTCTTATAAATTTGTTTGAGTTCATTGTAGATTCTGGATATTAGCCCTTTGTCAGATGAGTAGGTTGCGAAAATTTTCTCCCATTTTGTGGGTTGCCTGTTCACTCTGATGGTAGTTTCTTTTGCTGTGCAGAAGCTCTTTAGTTTAATTAGATCCCATTTGTCAATTTTGGCTTTTGTTGCCATTGCTTTTGGTGTTTTAGACATGAAGTCCTTGCCCATGCCTATGTCCTGAATGGTAATACCTAGGTTTTCTTCTAGGGTTTTTATGGTTTTAGGTCTAATGTTTAAGTCTTTAATCCATCTTGAATTGATTTTTGTATAAGGTGTAAGGAAGGGATCCAGTTTCAGCTTTCTACATATGGCTAGCCAGTTTTCCCAGCACCATTTATTAAATAGGGAATCCTTTCCCCATTGCTTGTTTTTCTCAGGTTTGTCAAAGATCAGATAGTTGTAGATATGTGGCGTTATTTCTGAGGGCTCTGTTCTGTTCCATTGATCAATATCTCTGTTTTGGTACCAGTACCATGCTGTTTTGGTTACTGTAGCCTTGTAGTATAGTTTGAAGTCAGGTAGTGTGATGCCTCCAGCTTTGTTCTTTTGGCTTAGGTTTGACTTGGTGATGCGGGCTCTTTTTTGGTTCCATATGAACTTTAAAGTAGTTTTTCCATTTAATTTTCAAAGTAAGTCTATGGCATAGTTTTAACTAAATACCCATTTTTAAGTGAGGCAAAGCACTTTAACTTCTGTCATCTTCTGCCTAAGAGTGCAGAGTTGAAATGTGAAACTAGCATGGTTGACACCAACACACAATGACTTTACACTGCACTTTACGTGCTCAATATAAAAAGTATTTCTCTTTACTGGTATATAGGAAGCTGATTTAAATTGCTGGACATTATTTAGCCAATTCAATGAGTAGATTCAGTTGGATCAGCTCAAAGACCAAGAAATCACCTATACTTGTTTTAAAAACACAATAGTGCTTTCATGTTTTAAAATAATAGCTTTATATGCATGATTCAACTTTAATGTATTGTATAAATTAATACACATAGCTTATTTCTGGAAAACAATTCAGGCTACTATCTGGAGAATGAATGTCCTTTCTTTTCTGTACTCCGCATGGGGCCATTTTGGAACCAATAATGCATTTAAGTGTTTGTAATTATTAAGTGTGTCCAGGGACAATGGCTATTTCACACAATTGCTCTCTTTATACTATCTTCTAAATGTTGCTAGTCTCATTCCTTTCATCATTTTTGAAATTAATTCCTAAATTTTACTATTAGGTAATTTAAATAATAATTCCATTGATAACTTTATAGTTGTTAAACATTTTTAAAGCAACCTTTCAGTTTTGGTAGATGGACCCTGGATTTGAACATTTTTGTTAATAATTATGAAATTTATACCCAGACTACAAGAATGACACTTGGGAGATTTCCTGTTATTGTAAAGTAAATAACATTGAATGAACTCTAAGGATTGATCAAGTGAAACAGTTCTCCAGTGATTAAAGCATCAATGAAGATAATTCTCAATTCCTTCTCTGATGGGTAAAAAAGAGAGCAAAAACAATTACATTAAAAAGAGTGGTTCTAACCATTAATTACTTTCCACATCTAAGTAGGTTTATATCTGACGGGGAGGAGACTATCAGCCATTGTTTTCTTTTTAAAGCAGGAATCTGATCATGTAACTCCTTTGCTTAAAATCTTTTAATGACTTGCCATTTCACCAAAGATAATGTTGAAAATACTTACTTCCCTTATAAAACTCAGCCTATTCGAACCTCTGCATACCTCTCTACACTGATGCTCTCTCTGCTTTCTAGTTGCAGATTCCTTCAGGGCCTATTCACAAGCACACGTCTTCCAGGGAAAGTATTTGGACTCATATTGCCTTTGCCTGGAAAGCACTGGCCTTCTGTTCTCAATAAATTAGTTTGTTTATCTTCTCACAGGGAAACCAAACCATTCTTGACCATTCACATAATGCCAGAATTCCTTATTGTAAATCTCAGAGAACTATGCATGCCACATATGTAGTAATTAGAGTTATAACTTTATATTTATATGTGTGACTATTTGATTAAAGTATGCGTCTGCCAATAGATTGTGAGCTTAAGTGAAAACAAAGATCATGTCTATTTGTACCCACCAGTGTGTTCCAGTAATTATAAAATGGAACATGGCGTGCTGTTTTTATTCAAAAGATTAATATGTATGTATGAATGAATGAACACATAGTAAGCTTTGGAACATTCCAAGAATATTGTATAATGAATATCATCTGTTTTAATTGAAGGTTGATGCAACGTGTATGCTTTTGGGGCATACGCAATTTTGTTAAGGTTAGCCCTCTCCAATTAAACTGGTCTCATTTATGTAGTGTGCATAAGAACATATGGGACAATTTTGATGATTAAATGAGTTAATTTTGTCATAGTACTTCAATCAAATTTAGCTAATTAATGAAGTGCTGTGAACCAGTAATTTACTGATTCATTAATCTAACAGATATTTATTGAGCACATATTATAGCATAACAGGATCTCTGCTATGGGTTTGAAAGCTGAACTTGTCAGAAGAAGTATTCCCTGCCTTTACAAATGTTTGGATCGTATATGAACTGTAATATCACCATCTGCCACTAAAAGACTTAATAAATCCACAATGAGCCACATTGATATCATAATGCAAACGGTAACACTTTAGATTGATATATATAAAGGGATGTTGCATATTATGCTTGTGTTTAATGTTAAAACTATTGTCATGTTCTAAGTTTTGGCATTCTGAGCCTTTTTAACTTAAAATACACAAATTTGAGTGTGTTACTCTGACTCCAAAATTTCATCTTTGAATGACTCCTATTAGAAATTTATTTAGAAAGAACAGTGCTTTTCTTTTTTTAAATTTTAAGTTCTGGGACAGGTGCAGAAGAACGTACAGGTTGGTTACATAGGTATACATATGCCATGGTAGTTTGCAGCACCTATCAACCCGTCATCTAGGTTTTAAGCCACACATACATTAGGTGTTTGTCCTAATGCTCTCCTGTCCCTTGCCCCAAGGACATGAATGAAGTTGGAAGCCATCATTCTCAGCAAACTAAAACAGGAACAGAAAACCAAACACTGCATGTTCTCCCTCATAGGTGGGAGTTGAACAATGAGAACACATGGGCACAGGGAGGAGAACAGTGCTTTTCTTACCGTTTCTCTTGATTGAGGAACTATATCTTGATTCAGTGATCATTTACTAAAAGAACTGAAAGATTGATGAGTAATATGAAGGATTTCCAATAGGCTACTGAAAAATAGAGTGACCGAGATTTAGAGTACACAAATGGCAAACGACACATAGATTGGGAAATGTTCAGCTTGGAATCTAAAGTGGTTTATTTGCCTATAAGATGCTTTGGACAGTAGGAGAGAGATCCTATATGCTGAGAGGGTCACTGAATCAGTAACCCATTATGCAAGCTAAACATTGTCCCTTTAGATGAAGATTAATTAAATGATTAATCCTTCTCATTTCATTTTTGTAGATGTAAAATGATTGTGCCATGAATCTTACACTATACTTTTGGACCAATACATATCTATATCTAGATCTATATCTAATCTGTATCATCTGTATCTATATCTAATCAGGCAAAGGACAAAGTGATATCTGAGTCTTTGAACATAGCATTTAAAATGAGATCAAGAAAAGGAAATACTGGCTATTCAATTAATTGTTCCAGACACTTGATGTACGCAGACCTATCAACAAACATTATAAATGCATATATTTTTATTTTATTGTTAAGGAAATTAAGACTCAAATATAATAAGTAACTTGCATAAATAGCATGGTTATTAAACTGTAAAACTAATAATTTGTTTATAGTCTGCTACTTTGTATTAGAATGACATTTCCATGGAGGCAGAAACCCTCTTTAAAACACTAGTAAATTGAGGGGGACATCAGCGAGATGATCTAGTCCTCATTCTCTCACAGAAACTTTTTTTAAATAATTATATGTGTACCAACTTGCCTTTATGAAATATCCATAATCCAGTTAAAAAGTTTCAACATCCCATATGGGTATAAAACTGAAAACAGCAGCATTGATATGAATAAGAATAATAATTTCACTTTACCTGCTTCAGCTCATTCCCCAAGCTGGCAAAACTGAGAGCTGAGCAAGATCACCTTGACCCATGAATTCTCTCCCAGGGGAAAAAGAGTTTAGAGCATGTGTGCAACATCTGCAGCTTTTTGGTGCACCAGATTCTGTCTTGACTCACGTGGAGCACTGATGGAGCTGCCAAGTTCCAATTCCTGGGGATAGCTAACAACAAAGAAGAGAGACAGGTGGCTTGTTCAGGCCTGCATGACTTGATGAGATCGGGAGAAGGTGCACAACTCAAGGCTTTTTCCTGGAAGGGGTGGCGGGGGAAAGGTGCTCTGCAGTGCAATAGACCAATAGGGAGCAAGAGATTATGGGCTTCTGGAAAAAAAAAAAAGAAAGAAAAAAATCAATAAATATTTCTAACTAGGAATCTACACAGACAAGTTCAGGCAAGACACACCATAGAAAAGAGATGAGAGGCTCTGAAAATTTCTAGATTGATTGGTGAAGGTCTTTTCTGGGCAAAGTCAGTTAGTAAAGATTGACAGAAAATTTTTTTAAGAAAAAAATGCACAGATACCGACATGAAGCTGCAGAAACACAAAGAATCAGGGAGACATGACTAAATCAAAAGAACAAAGTGAATTTCCAATATCTGACCCTAAAGAAAGGGAAATCTATAATTCAACTGACAAAAAGACTTAAACCTGATGAATCACAAGAGAACTCAATTAGACAACTAAACCAAATTAGGAACACTATTCATGAACAAAATGAGAATATCAGCAAAGATATAGAAACTACAGATAAAGAGCCAGGCTGGGAATTGTTTCTCATGCCTGTAATCCCAGCATTTTTGGGAAGTCAAGGCCAGAGGATTTGTTAAGGCCAGAATTTTGCGACCAGCCAGGGAAACACAGTGAGGCCTCTGTACCAAAAAAAAAAAAGTACATATATATACATATATAAACATGCACACAAATACACATATATAATACATATGTATAGTATGTATATTATATAAAATATACGTATAGTAAGTGTATTTTATATATTATATTATGTATATTATATATTATATAATGTTATATATGATATATTTGTGTATCATATATAATATATATGTTTTAAGAGCCAAACAGAAATTCTGGAGCTAAAGAATGCAATAACTGAACTCTAAAATTTGCTAGAGGATTTCAAAAGTACACATGATCAAGAAGAAACAATTAGTGAAGTCAAAGAAAGGCCATTTAAAATTATCCAGTTAGAGATGCAAAAATAAAAAAAAATTTAAAAAGTAAAAGAAACCTAAGTGATTATGAGATACCACCATATTAAAAGAAATATGCATTATGGATGTTTCAAAAGGAAAGGATAGACAAAGATGTAGAAAACATTTTTAAATGATGACTGAAAACTTCTGAAATCTGGAAGGAAAATGGACATCCAGATTCATGAAGCATGAGAGACCCTAAATGGGATGAAGACAAATAAATCTACACTGAGAAACATTATAATCAAATTGTCAAATACAAAGACAAAAAGAGAAAAGAAACAACTTGTCATGTACAACAGAGCCCCTACAAAACTCTCAGCTTACTTCTCAGCAGAAACCTTGCACGACAGAAGAGAGAGGGATGACATATTCAAAGTATAGGAATAAAAAGAAACTATCAACCAAGAATACTAACACCTGACAAATCTGTCCTTCAAAAATGAAGGATAGAGAAAGACTTTTTTTCTGAAGATGTAGCTCTGTTGTTGGTTGGATAGGGCACTTTGGCTTTGATTCTAGGTGTGTGCAGTAGTGTAGTCTCTGTCTGATTTCTTCTGCTGTAAACAGCATCAGTGATGTCTGTGGTTTCCTCTGCAGCTTAGGGTGGAGTTTTTAGTGGAGGCTGCAGTAAAATTTTGCTGGGGACAGGGATTTCAGTTGAGACAGTCCTTAGGCTCCAGTGGTAGCAGAAGTGGGCTGAGCATGCCTGTCTTTGTGTCCCATGCAGTATATGCTGGCATCAGTGTTAGTGGGTCCAGGTGGGCCAATTCTTGGGCCTCCAGGCATCTTGCTTGTGCCAGCAGTGGCAGCAGTAGGTTTGGTGAGTTGCTGACTCCTCAGATGACTTGGCAGCTGGTGTGGAGTGGGTGATCACAGTAACAGTGATTGAACAATCACCTGGCTCCCAAGCAGTCTACACTGGTGTTGATGGTGTTTGCAATGGACTGAACAGGCTCATCCCCAGATCTGCAGGTAGTACATACAGGTGAGTACCAGCGTCTTGGGAGCTGCAGGTTGGATGAGTTGGTATTTAGGCTCCTGAATAAGTGCTCAAGTGCCAATTGTGGTGAATAGTTCAAGGCAATCCCCTAACCCTGGGATCGCATACCTAGGCACTGAAGCATGTATGGAGCTGGACCTCCTGTTGTTGCATGCAGGTGTTGGCTGTGGTAGGCAGAGGAAGGTAAATCCCCAAGAATGCTCCAGTGGAAGCAGAAATGGTTGCCCCACGGCACTGCTGCGGGGAGGACAGGAATATTTTCAGTGACAGAAACCATATACAGGCAGTTGAAGAGCATGTGCTTTAGTCCCAGGTGGTGATTGCAAGTGGGGGAGCATTTCCTCAGGGCTCTTATATATGTGTGGCAGTCCTGTTACTGGGGGCAGTGGGGTGGGTAACTGCCAATGTCTCATGCTTTGACCCTGGTGGCAGCAGCCAGCAAAGGCACCTAGTTGGGGGTGAATAAGGTCACTGAGCTCCAGGGATGTGGATATGCAAGGGTTGTTAGGCTCCAGGGCAAGATATAATCGGGTGGCCAACTGGGATCTCAAAATGACATCTTACTATAGCTGCTTATGATGGGGTAGGGGGACCCATTGTGTTTCCTCTCTGCAGCAGTGCCATCATGTGGTCCCCAGGCAGCTGCCTATGCTCATCTCAGGGCCCATGTTGGCCAACACATTCGCCAGTGGCTAGGATTTCAAGAGTTTACAGTGGGAATGTAAACTGCTGAGGGTCATTCACTTATCCTTACCCCACGTTAGGGAGTCTCTCAAGGTTCCCAGCCAATTTCAGCTCCTTGAGCAGTCAGCCTGGCTTCCTTCCTTGTCTTAGGTGTTTCCTATCACTTCTCTGTTAAATTACAGCATTCTCTCTTAGGTGATCAGTTCGAATGGTAATTATTTATTCACTACTTCTGTTCTCTCTTTTGGAGGAGGTACCAGTTGCCTGTAGTCAGCCATCTTGGCTACCTTCTGTTTTTCTTTTTTTGTATTTTTAAAAATCAATATATGTCAGTTAAACCAAAGTTGTTTTTCTAACTTTATAACTTGCAACTGTGTGAGCCTACCTGGAAAAAAAATTGGTCTTTATACCTCTTCCTTATGTTTTTACTTTCTTCCACCTATAGGTCTCATTATACTTATGCCAGAGTCACACTGATTTAAAAAATCCAGAAAAAAAGACAAATCTCACTGTGCTTTTCCCAGTGTTTAAGCAATGTTATGTGATAGTGGTTTCTTCCTACTTTCTAAATAGGTCTTTTGAGCATCAGAGTTATAATTATCTGTTCTGTAATGGGCACTATTGCTGGTCTTTAGACCTATTATATTCATGTGTAATTTGTTTTGCAAGTCAGAAATTTAATAACAAAAAAAGTTAATCTAGATCAGGAAAGTAGGCTGGAGGAGGTATAATCAGAAGCAAATCAAGCTAAGGTCCTTAATAATTAGAGAGCATTTTTAAACAGTAAGACTATGCAATTAATAGTGGAGATCAATATAAACCAACATGGGTACACTAAGTGAAAGTCACTTTATACTAATTTTGTTAAATCATTTTCTACAGCATTTCTCTAATTAGCTCCTATAAGGATATCACTGGATATTATCAGGTAAGTCAGCTTGTTAAACCCAGGAACAAAGATGATTTGTGAGCTTGACATGTGCTGTGTTTGACAGAGTTGGATTAATATGCTTAAGGCAGACAGCAGTCATTTAGTGAATACAGTGAAGGATTATCTGAAACACTATAGGAGTATATCACTTATCTTTTTGTGTTAATACTGTTTAAATAACATGTGGTGTGCTTGCTTCAGCAGCACATATAGTAAAACTGAATAACTTGTTGAATTTAGATTATCTTATGTGCCAGGCACTGTACTAGCCATTGGTTGAATGCATGGGCTCAGAATAACGGAAGAAATAGATTCGCTTAATCAGTGGCATGGTTCACGTTCTGTTCCCAGATCTTTAAGGTTTTTATAGCAATGCCTTAGCTCGCATGGGAGTCAAGATTGAGACCCAGAGGCGGGGCTCCCAATTCCACACTCTTCACCTTTCCAGGGCACTTAATTTTATCTATTTCATATAAAACCTGAAGTTAAATTAGGTGGCCCTTAAAATGTTTTTAAAAAACTGCATGAATAATCAAAATAATTTAGATGTGAAATGTTAATAGTGTGAACCCTGGAGGATAAATCGCAATGATGGCTTGATGCATAAAGCAATTTCCTTCCAAATGTTTGTTAAGGTAAGTATTTCCATTGTTTCAGATGGAAATTTGGAGGCTCAGAGCCAGTTAATGACTTGACTGAGGGCACAAGTTATATGGCACAGAGAGCCTCAGGGCTCTTCCTACTCACCAGGGGAATTTGAAAATTACTAAAAAATCTCTCTTTTGAGATCTGCAAGCCTGAACGCCTTTAACAACAACGTAGGCTGAGATCAGATGGTCTTGAAGCAAAGTGATTTAAAAGGGCATTTATGCCACTCCGTTTTTCAAGTGAATAGTGTGAAGATTAATATAACTTAGAACACCTACAACAAATGTCTGAAGTGATGCTTAATAACATGTGCTTTTGAGTCAGAAGAGCTTGAATTTTGATTTTATTGTTTATAAATTTCATTAATGAAAAAAATTACTTCCCTTCCTGAGCCTCAATCTCCTCGCCTATAATATCTAAGTCATAACTACCTTATATGGCTGTTGCTAATGTTAAAACTTAATTAATAGGTAGCAGATTACTAGACTAGATGTCAGTTTTGTGATATCTACCTCAACTTTTGCTAACAGTTGATAATTTAGAAGCAATGTAGGAGTCTAACAGTACAGAAACATTTATGCATGTCATTATTCATTTTCCATATCTTCAAGATCTATCATGTCATTGTGATAGATATTCTGTATCAAAAAATAATTCCAAAAACACAGTTTTATATCCATAATATAAAAATAGGCAAAAATTAACCTTGGATCTATGACCTCTGTTAGAGTCCAGTAACATCATTCTGAGGTGGCTCAGATTTTTTTTTATTATACTTTGAGTTCTGGGATACATGTGCAGAACGTGCAGGTTTGTTACATAGGTATACACGTGCTATAGTGTTTTGCGACGGCCATCAATCCATCACCTACATTAGGTATTTCACCTAATGCTATTCCGCCTCTAGCCCCCTGCCCTCTGACAGGCCCCGGCGTGTGATGTTCCCTCCCTGTGTCCGTGTGTTCTCATTGTTCAACTCCCACTTATGAGTGAGAACATGTGGTGTTTGGTTTTCTGTCCCCGTGTTAGTTTGCTGAGAGTGACGGTTTCCAGCGTCATCCATGTCGCTGCAAAGGACATGAACTCATCCTTTTTTATGGCTGCATAGTATTGCATGGTTTATATGTGCCATATTTTCTTTATCCAGTCTGTTATTGATGGGCATTTGGGTTGATTCCAAGTCTTTGCTATTGTGAATAGTGCTGCCATAAACACACATGTGCATGTGTCTTCATTGTCTTCATAGTAGAATGATTTATAATCCTTTGGGTATATACCCAGTAATGGGATGGCTGGGTCAAATGGTATTTCTGGTTCTAGAACCTTGAGGAATCACCACACTGTCTTCCACAATGGTTGAACTAATTTACACTCCCACCAACAGTGTAAAAACGTTCCTATTTCTCCACATCCTCTCCAGCATCAGTTGTTTCCTGACATTTTAATGATTGCCATTCTAAATGCTGTGAGATGGTATCTCATTGTGGTTTTGATTTGCATTTCTCTAATGACCAGTGATTATGAACTTTTTTTCATATGTTTGTTGGCTGCAAAAATGTCTTCTTTTGAAAAGTGTCTGTTCATATCCTTCGCCCACTTTTTGATGGGGTTGTTTTTTTCCTGTAAATTTGTTAAGTTCTTTGTAGGTTCTGGATATTAGCCCTTTATCAGATGGATAGATTGCAAAAATTTTCTCCCATTCTGTAGGTTGCCTGTTCACTATGATAGTAGTTTCTTTTGCTGTGCAGAAGCTCTTTAGTTTAATTAGATCACATTTGTCAATTTTGGCTTTTGTTGCCATTGTTTTTGATGTTTTAGTCATGAAGTCTTTGCCCATGCCTATGTCCTGAATGGTATTACCTAGGTTTTCTTCTAGGGTTTTTATGGTTTTAGGTTTAAGTTTAAGTCTTTAATCCATCTTGAGTTAATTTTGTATAAGGTATAAGGAAGGGATCCAGTTTCAGTTTTTGGCATATGGCTAGCCAGTTTTCCCAACATCGTTTATTAAATAGGGAATCCTTTCCCCATTGCTTGTTTTTGTCAGGTTTGTCAAAGATCAGATTGTTGTAGATGTGTGGTGCTATTTCTGAGGCCTCTGTTCTGTTCCACTGGTCTATATATCTGTTTTGGTACCAGTACCATGCTGTTTTGGCTGCTGTAGCCTAGCAGTGTAGTTTGAAGTCAGGTAGCGTGATGTCCCCAGTTTTGTTCCTTTTACTTAGGATTGTCTTGGCTATACAGGCTCTTTTTTTGGATCCATATGAAATTTAAAGTAGTTTTTTTGGCCAGAGCAAATAACAGGATCAAGCCCAGAATCTGCATAGGAAGTCACAATACCAAAATGTGGCTGCTCAGAGGATACAATGAGAGGGTTTGTGACCATATTTGCAAACAAACCTTCAGTTAGAAAAGTTAATAATAATATTTATCTTATAGAGATTTGAGGATTAAGCAAAATAAATTCATAAAATGATGACAAGGGCAGGACGTAATTTGGGGCTAATATTTATTAAACCCTTTTACTTAAGCTAATGTTGATAATGAGACACTGAAAATATTTTAATAAAAAAGAGAAGACAGGTAGGATAGAATTACCTTAACATGTCTAAATAATCACTCGTGGCTGGGTGCAGTGTCTCACCCCTGTAATCCCAGCACTTTGGAAGGCCAAGGTGGGTGGATCACAAGGTCAGGAGTTTGAGACCAGCTTGTCCAACATAGTGAAACTTTGTCTCTACTAAAAATACAAAAATTCGCCAGTCATGGTGGCATGCACTTGTAGTCCCAGTTACTCAGGAGGCTAAGGCAGGAGAATAGCTTGAACCTAGGAGGCAGAGGTTGTGGTGCACCGAGATCACACCACTGCACTCCAGCCTGGGCAACAGAGCAAGACTCCATCTCAAAATAAATAAATAAATAAAAATAAAATCACTTGTAAATGTCATAACCTTCCAATTTTCTAGTTTTGGCACCTGAGAGTATTTAAAATAAAGAAGTGATTTTTCAATCAACATCACAAAATAAAGGCTATATGTATGGAAACATATGTGCTTGCTTTAATATGAATTATCTTATTGTTAAGACTATGGTGAAGGTCTAGAATGGAGACTGAGAACGTATTTAAAAACTCTAGAACTTATTTTCCCTGCTTGGATGTAACTTTAAGACAAATTAGAAAGTGACTTTGTTTACTGAGGACTACAACAAGGAAACCATATTTATTCAGAAGGAAGAGGAGATAATTTACAAAAGGAGGAACAGTTAAGATAAGTTGTACCAGACAAATGTGATCTCCTGTCTATTCCTTCTTGATCTATTTTACCCCTCCTCATCTGAGAAGCTACTTGGAAGCAAATGAATGGATTGGAAGTAGAATAAGGACTAATTCCTTGGTATTACTATCCAAGTGAGTTAGGAAAACAAGAATAATTTCTTATGAAAAAAATAGGAAAAATGAGATTATTCCATAAGACTCAGGTGCCTTTTGTCTTCAAATTTGGAGAAAAAGCAATAGAAGGGAGGTTCTTGCTAGTTACTTAACTATACATGAATAAAGCTAATATGTTTCAATTTTCCTGTCTAGAAACTTGACAGATATGGTCAAATGCCAATACACAGCACTCTTTTCTGAACATGAGGCATCAAATTAAATATAAGTCCCCAGTCTGCAGTGATAACATATTAACATCTGACTCAAACCTACAAAAACTGACCCATTGCCATGACCGACCTCACTATGTAATGCTGTTCATATATTATAGATGCATAGGTTAACTTCTGAATTTTTTATTTTGAGAAGCTTGTATGATCAATCCAGTGGTCTGCTTTCTCACGGCACTTTCACAAACTCACTCTCCTTAAGTTATATGTCCTAAATTGATGTTTTAAAGTTTCCTTACCTTTTCTAAGGAATTAAATCAATTATCTCTTTTAATGTTAACTGAATGAATTTTCCCTCAACAATGAAATAACTAATCACACAGAACTCACTTGTAATCTCCTAATAATGAATCATTTTTATTATGCCCTAGCTCTGAGATGTGTTTTCTTTGAGAAAAAAGAAACAAAACGGTATATGAATTTTGTACTTTGGGCTTGATAGGAAAGCTGTTGGTGGTGGTAGTGAGGGGGATTTGATGCCAGAAACAACTAAAATCATAATGTAGAATTCTTTATTAATTCCTATATGGAAAATAATATTATCTGTATTATTTAGGAATCATAGGTCTTGCTATGCATTATGTAATACCTAAAAAATATTTCTCTATGCAGAGCTCCATTAAAATTAATGATGCACGAAAGTAGTCTCATAAAATTACGTGCTCATATTCTCCTAAAAAGCAATAGCAATTGTGATCATGTTTACCACGCAGTTTCTAAGATATAACTTAAGATACTATATCTGTGGGGGATTTATTCAGTGGAGGTCTCTACACTATAGCAGGATGCTAAAATTACTTTTTTGTATATTAATTTTTCTCTTTATATCAACAAGCACCCTCCTTTTAACATGACATAAATATGACTTACACCAATCTATAAACTCATAAAATAATTTAAAAGGTACATTTCAAATTGTTAATGAATGCTTGACCCTTACTCAGAATTAGTACAGATCCAAATCAGTGGATAACAACAAAAAAGACGCCTAACACTCCTCCCCAGTATGAGATATTTTATCTCTCTTATCTAGAAAAAAATATGAAATAGAATTCTAATGACTGGCTTATGTCACTAATGCCTCAAGAATTCATGTTTGCATTGTCACCACTTATTAAATTTGTGATCTTGTGGACGGGTAAGAGGGATTAATTAATTGCTATCCACAGAAATAGATTTTCGTTTTAAATTTCTAATATGAGATGTAGTGATTTATAAACATTTTTTGGAAAAGTGGTCCTCTGGAAAAATCTATAAATTCATCCTCGAGGACACAGTGAAAATATGAAGGAGGAAAGGAAACTAATGAAATCATCTCTTTTGACCATTAAACTTAAGAAAAAAAAAGGAAAAAGGAAATGATGCAACAACATCAAAAATGTCTTTCCTACAAACAAACTCTTTAATTTGGTTCGATGTTACACAGTGAAACCCTGTCTCTACTAAAAATACAAAAAAAAAAAAAAATTAGTCAGGCGTGGTGGTGGGCGCCTGCAGTCCCAGCTATTCCAGAGGCTGAGGCAGTAGAATGGCGTGAATCCGGGAGGCGGAGCTTGCAGTGAGCCCAGATCGCGCCACTGCACTCCAGCCTGGGCGACAGAGCTAGATTCCGTCTCAAAAAAAAAAAAAAAAAAAAAAAAAAAAAAAAAAATCCATTCCCACCAGGTTCTAACGACCAGCTGTGATTAGAACAATTCAAATCAGGACAGCACATTTTATTTACAACTCACTGTGTACCAGTCCACACGTTAGTCAGTGAGAGTAACAAGAAGATGAAGTATTTCCTCCTTCATTAAGTGGCTCACATTCTCATAGAAAGGCCTGCTTAGAGCAGTGTTCCCAAAGCCTTGTTCCATTGCTATTCCAGGACATGCATGTCTTATATTTGGTGTCACTTGTAATAATAACTGTAACTCAAGAGGAGTTCTAAATACAATCAGCATCCATGAATTCAACCAACCTTGGATCAAAAATATACGAAATAAAAAATAAAAAATGGCAATACAACAATAAAAATAATGTGCATAATAATACAGTATAACAATTATTTATACAGCATTCACATTGTATTTAGGTTTTATAAGTAATCTAGAAATAGTTTAAAGCAGGGGTCCCCAATCCCTGGCCCAAGGACCAGTACCCACCTGTTAGGAACCAAGCTGCACAGCAGGAGGTAAGGGGGCTGGTGAATCAGTGAAGCTTCATCTGTATTTACAGCCACTCCCCATCACTCACATTACCACCTCTGCTCCACCTCCTGTCAGATCAACGGCAGCATTAGATTCTCATAGGAGCACAATCCTATTATGAACTGCACATGTGAGGGATCTAGGTTGCATATCCCTTACGAGAATTTAATGTCTGATGATCTGTCACTGTCTCCCATCCCCCCCAGATGGGATCAACTAGTTGCAGGAAAACAAGCTCAGGTTTCCCACTGATTCTACATTATGGTGAGCTATATAATTATTTCATTATATATTAAAATGTAGTAATAATAATAGAAATAAAGCACACAATAAATGTAATGCTCTTGAATCATCCAGAAATCATCTACTGCCACCTGGTCCGTGAAACTGGTCATTGGTGCCAAAAAGGTAGGGGAATGCTGGTTCAAAGCATACAATAGAATGTGCATAGGTTATGTGCAAATACTATGCCATTTTATATAAGGGACTTAAGCATACAAATACACATATTGTTATCTGCGGGTAACCCTAGAAATAGAACCCAGTGAATATAGAGAAACAGCTGTATTCTGATTATACTTCATGGATTTCAGATAAGTCTAGATGGTGACTAAGAAAGGCATTCAGATAAATGAATACTAATCAATTTTCTTTTGTTCCTCTACCATAAAAGGGAGATAATTACTACCTCATAATGTTATTTATATGATCGATATTAACATATACTATGGACCAAGCACTATGCTAGGTTCTAGAATGCACTAGTTATACAAAAGTAATATGGTTTCTCCCTCTCAAGATTATACTTACAGAGTATCCCTTGGTAAGTGGCAAATATTTTAGACACAAATAGACTTTGCTTCTTTTGTCTGCTTCTTCTTAGAGAATAGGGGCTTCACCTGAATTTAAAAAAAAATTGTATGCCTCATTCTCCTTGTAGATACCTAGAGGATAACTTAGTATATATTATATATGCTAGTCTTTTTTATATAATGCTTTCCCCCTTTCCCCATATTCCTTTTGACTTTTGGAATAATAAAAATTGATTTATGTCAAGTGGACCAGACCTCTAGTGTGGGCTTGGAATCAGTGAATAAATTTGTCATCTACTCTTTCCATGTAGCACAGGCCAGCTTGAAGCATGCTGACCTCTGGCCTATCTCTAGCTACTCATGTGAAGCTAGGAAGAGACAAGGAAAAGGAACTGGTGAGACAGGGTAGAGCCAGGTCAAATGCAAGAGCATGTCATTCTGTTCAACTCTTATCATCTTATTGTGGTATTCTGGCCATTACCATCCTGTTTTGACCCAGCAACAGTATGCCACTGGCCCTCATCACCAGCTGCCTCAGCCTTTAAAAGCCCAGGCCTGACACCTTGCTCCCTAACACAAATATTTAGGAAGTAGAGACTAAGATAAATTATCTTCAGAGGAAATTTCAAGCTTCCCACCTTAAGAGTCTAGTCTTCTCATACACATAGAGATCCTCAGCCAATAGATGCTGAAATCACATTCTTCATCTCCAAAATCCTTGCTGTCTGGGCTCAGAAATCTAATTTTAAAGTGACTTAAGGGATTTTGATAATGAGTTGAGATTTGTTACTATATGTTTAATTAAAAAATAATGTCAAAGGATTTATGCTGAGTGAAAGAAGCCAATCTAAATAGGTTACATAATGGAGAATATATATATATATATTCCACTCATTTACAAAATTACTTAGGCCAGCATCTTTTTTAACTGCTTCCTTTAGTGAGGTTTCTCATATACTTTTAGTTCAATTAGATATTTTTGTTAAATTTTTCATTTTATTCTGCAGTTCTCTAACCTTGTAAATATTTTTTTAATTTGTATATATCAATGATCTCGCTTTGTGATGTTACGTTCTACAGGTTTTGATGAAAGCATATATATTTTCATCTTGAAATAACAAAGTTATAGCGATGGAGAAGCAATGAATGATTTCCAGGGGTTGTGAATGCGGGAGGGGAGTGGGTGTGCCTAAAAAAGGGTAGCAGAAGGCTGGTAAGTGTGATGGAAGAGTTGCGCGTCTGGATTGTGCTGGTAGTTGCAGGAATCAACACACGCAATCAAATTCTGTAGAAATACACACCCAAACATGCAAGTGCATGTAAAACTGTTGAAATCTGAATAAGTTCTTTGGATTATGAGTATAAAATTCCTGGTTTAGATATTGTACTACAGCATTGCAAGATGTGTCCCCTAGGCAAAGGGTACCTAAGACCTCTCTGTATATTTTCTCAAATCTTTCTGTGAATCAATAATTATTTCAAAGTAAAAAAAATAAAAACAACACAAGACATAAATTGCCCATTTAGAAAAGAGAGAAACAACAAAGAACTAACCAAAAGTAAATTCTACTTGTTATTGGTAATTTCTTTGACTAGGTAACCAACTTAAATGATGACTACATACAATGTCCATATTTGACATAAACTATTTTATATATATATATATATATACCTATTCAGGCTATAATTTTGAAATTCCACAGTGCTGTTGACATATAGTAGAATTCATTTATTCAAGTCACAGTCTGTTAATAACTATTCAACTCGTACTAATGCTACAGAATAAAATTCTATGGAAATAAAAGTATGCAATTTATGACCCAGTCTTAGACAGATGGTCTGAATGATTATTCCCAAAAGGTTTAGCTCTCTGACAAGATCAACTGCTTTAGCAAATATATGTGATGTTTCACACCTAACTCAGCTCTACTGTGCAGAAATGATAATGGAAAAACCATCCAATATTGAATATATCCCATGCTTGCCCCCATGATAAATGGATCTCAACGTTCAATGATGGGGGTCTCTTCTCTGAATTCAGGAGGATAAAGAAAACTTAATTAATGGCACAAGAGGTGTGAAAATATTGCTGTGTGACAGGAAGCACATGGAGTTTTCAACTGTGCAACCAAAGAACTGGCAGAGTTTTCCCATGCCCACTGCCAGCAGTTCTTTTCCTCTGTTCCTCCAGATTTTGCCAACTGGAAAGTGCAGGCTATGCTGTCCTTCTACTTTCCCCAGGTGGTGAAACTGTCTGTGCTGTTAGCCACCCATACAAATTCACACAAATGAACCTCACCTGGGTTCCAAGTGATTAATAATTCAGTATGTTGAAAATGGTTAAAAGCAATATATAGAACTGAAGCAATAGAAACTTTTTATTAATTTACTTGAACACCTTTCACTTGGTGGTTTTCTCACCTGGAAAGCCAACCTACTCAGCTGCCCTAAAGAAGAGTTTCATGATAGTAGCAGCTTTACTACTTGGTGTTAAATTTATCAATCATTCCTCTCATAGTATGTTAATTTTCCTTCAATATTCCATGCAGTGGTTTACCTCTTTCTTCTTGAAATGGTGTCTTATCTCTGCTTAGTGGCACGAGACTTCCTGGAACACATCTACTTTCATGAACTCTCTTAATCTCTCTCCCTGTCTTTATAAAATTATTTTATTTTGTAATACTTTTAGATTTACAGAAAGATTATGATGAGTTCCCATGTGCTTACAGTTCCCAGTTCCAACTGTAAGTAATATTTGCAATAATATACCATATTTGTCACAATTAATGAGTCAACATTGGGGCATTATTATCAAATACTTTTTTCAGATCTATAAATTTTTACCCAATTTCCTTTTTTTGTTCCAGGATCTTACCCAGAATATGACATTAAATTTAGTTATCAAGTCTTCTTAGGCTTCTCTTGGATGTGACAGTTTCATAGATTTCTCTTGTTTTTGAAAACTTTGACAGTTTTAAGGAGTACTGATCAGATATTTTTAATAATAGAAAGCCCCTTAACTGAAATTTGTCAGACGTTTTTCTCATGATGACACAGTGGTTATGGGTTTTAGGGAGGAAAACCAAAATAGTAACGTACATTCTCTTCACATCATGTCAAGGATACATTCTACCACTTATCACTATTAATATTACTGTTAACCTTGATCACCTGATTGAGGTAGTGTTTATCACATTTCTCCCCTGTAAAGTTAATCTCTTCCCCCACTTTTTTATATTATACTCTTCAGAATAAATGTACTATGCACAGTCCAAACTGAAGGAGTAGAAATTGTGCTCCACCTCTCCAGTGGTGGCACATCTACATACGTTGTTTGAAATTATTTTTCACAGGAGATTTTTCTCTTCTCCTCTATATTTTTATTCAATCTCTTATTTGTATTAGTGTGTTCTAAAGATTTTTTTTACCTATATATATACACATATGTTTACATATATACATTTTATACTTTTATACATTTGTTATAGATATTTAATACTTTAAATTATCTTGTATATTTTTGGGTCACAATCCAATAGCAATTTATATATTTATATATATATATATATATTTTTTTTTCTCAAATTGTTCCAGGTTTCGCTGTTGACAGCTCTTTCAGTTGGCTCCCGTGTTCCTTTGACAAAACCCCATCATTGGCGTTTTGGAGTACTTCTTTCCTTCTGGCACTACAAGAACCTCCAGTCTCATTTGCATATTTCTGGCCCCAGACCTAAAGTAAGACATCTTTTCAAAAAGATTTAGTTTCTTTATGCAATAATGGTATCAGAAAACAAGTTCTTTGTGCTAGGTGTACTCATGCTACTGGGGCGTTATTATTTGTAGTCCCTCTCAGCTGACAGAGGAGGGAAATATATGTGTTAGTACTGATCTGATCGATACACTTATGTATAAATAGTTCTCCATGTAACCATCTGTATCTATAAGCTAAGCATGATGTCTCTAACTGTAACTCATTATAACATGGACCATGCCAGCCTCCATTTCTTGCATATTTTCAACATCGTAGTCCAACAGTAAAAAAACTTGGCTCCCACCATCAGACATCAATTTACTTAATTGTTCAATTATAGCATTTATGTACAGTGATTTCAGAATTGTTAACCCCTACTCCAATGGAAACAGCTATATCAACTCAAGTACAGTGTTTATGCACAGTTCTTCAGTTCCTTTGGCTTTAGTCTTACAGATCCCACTCACTTAAAAATCACTTAGGCCAGCACCTTTTCCAACCACTCACTTTAGTGAGGTTTCACATACATATTTCATTCAACTAGACATTTTTGTCACATTCTGCATTTTACCTTACAATCCTCTGCCCACCTAAATGTTTTTTTTTTTTTTTTTGTCAGAGTCTTGCTCTGCCTCCCAGGCTGGAGTGCAGTGGTGCGATCTCAGCTCACAGCAAGCTCCGCCTCCTGGGTTCACGCCATTCTCCTGCCTCAGCCTCCCAAGTGGCTGGGACTACAGGCGCCCGCCACCACGCCTAGCTAATTTTTTTGTATTTTTAGTAGAGACGGGGTTTCACTGTGTTAGCCAGGATGGTCTCGATCTCCTGACCTCGTGATCCGCCCGCGTCGGCCTCCCAAAGTGCTGGGATTACAGGCGTGAGCCACCGCGCCCGGCCTAAATGATTTTTTAAACTGTGTAGACATCGATGATCACCCTGTGTGATGTAAAGTTCTGTACCTTTTGATAAAGCATTGTATCATGTTTTATTATTACAGTATCATATAAAATAGTTTCACCACACTACTAATCCCTTGTGCTTCACAAATTCAAAACCCTGCCCAAACCCCTGGCAAACGGTACTACGTTTACTGTCTCTAAAGTGCCACTTTTTCTTGAATGTCATATAAATTGAATTTTACAGTGAATAGCCTGTCCAAACTGGCTTCTTTCAAAATAGCAATATGCAATTAAAATTCATCCACATTTTTGTAAGTTTTGATAACTCATTCCTTTTCATCATTGAGTGTTATCTTATTATAAAAATGCACCAAAAGTTGTTTATTTATTCACCTATTGACAAATATCTTACTGCTTACAGTTTTTGGTGATTAGAGGAAAATATCCTATAAATATTTGTAAGAAGGTTTTATGTGGACATAACTTTTCGAATAACATGGACAAAGATCTATGAGTGTGATTACTGGACTGTACAGAAAACCATGCTTAATTTTGCAGGAAACTGTCAAACTATGCCCACAGTTGCCATGCCACTTTGCATTCTTACCATCAATGAGTGAGAGTTCCTATTGTTCATATCCTCAAAAGCATTGGTACTACCATTTGAATAAAGACAGCCATTCTAGTAGGTGTGCCATAACGTCATTTTAAAAAATTTGCATTTCTCTAATGAACTATGATGCTGAAAGTCTTTTCATATGCTTATTTGCCATCTTTATATTTTCTTTGGTGAGGTGCTTCTTCAGATGTTTCCCAACTTTTAACTTAGGTGTTTGTTTTCTTATTGTTGAGTATTAAAAGTTCATTGTATTCATTTGGGCCCTTAACATTTTAAACATAGATATTTAAAATCTCATCTCTGATATCTACAACAACCATATTATATCTGGGTATGGTTCTGTTGATGGCTTTGTCTCTTCAGACTGTTTTCTCTTGCCCTTGGCATGTCTTTGAATATTTTTTTGTTGAAAACTGACATATTATATG
Organism: Homo sapiens; assembly: GCF_000001405.40. Classification (NCBI taxonomy): domain Eukaryota; kingdom Metazoa; phylum Chordata; class Mammalia; order Primates; family Hominidae; genus Homo; species Homo sapiens. Next base: position 61,441,251 of record NC_000016.10, on the reverse strand, counting down.
CAGTAATAGGAACTGAGGAACACAGGCTTCTAGTATTTTTATCTTCATCTAGCTAAAAGTTGAGACAAGTATGACATTTGCTATAACTGTAGGCTCCAAAGCCTTCACATTCCTCTAATGATGTTTTTTGTTTCCTATTTGCTCTGCACTTTCCTAAATACCCCTACTCAGACAAAAATCAATTTCTTGCAGCTCTTTCATCTGCAATCCACTCTTAATGTACTGGGTCTCTGTTGTTGTGGTTGTAAGGTGACAAAGATGGGAAACATTATGTAATTGTCAAATTAAATCTCCATCTTTTAGTGGAACTGTCTTTCAGCTGTGACCTTAGCAAGTATCTCAACAATGATACAATTTCTTTTCTCCCATTCACTCCCTGGCTGTAGTGTTTCCCATTTACTCTGTTGATGTTCTTACCCCTATTGACTATGTTTTTCGTTTATCTCTTTGGCAAGATAGAAAAGGTAGTGGGTGATGAAATAGAAAAATTGAATTTCGTCTATCTTGGATAAGGTTGTGACAAAAGTACCTCCTGACCTCCTGTGCAATAGTCCTTTAATATAAAGAAAGATCTGGGCATATTCATAATTTCTCTTCCTCTTCCCACCCTCCACTCCTCCACCTCTCATTGTTGAAACCATGAGGGGGACCTTTCTCAGGTTTTTCACTGTGAGAAGCTGATGAGGGCCCTGGAGGTAAAATCTACAGAAGGGTGGAACTCAAGACTGTGGCCTCAGGAGGTTCTCACCCACAGGTTAATCCACACTCACCCTACAAAAATTCATGAAAATGACCATTAAATTTTACCTACCAGTTTACGGCTTCAGGGAGCTCTGCCCAAAGTAAGCAGATTTCAACTGTTTCTCTGGATCCACCTCTATCTCCAGATTTAGGGTTGGCAATTTGCCTTGCAACCTCAGATCTCTGAAGGGTGCAAGAAAATTTGTTGATTTTTAGTTTATCCATGTTCCTCTTGTAAAATTAGGAGTAATACATAATGAGTTCTTGGTAGTTCTTGTTGAAGCCAAAACTAGAATCCTAGTTATAGTCTGGCTTTTCTACTCTACTCTATAGAGTAGGTTATCATGCATCCTATCCATTCTAATAGCTTTACTTAACTAAACTGCCCAAGTGACTCCTCAATCTATGTCTTTATTATTTTTCCACCATGTGTTCTAGTTTCTGATTATCTGTTTAAAGGTTACACATAAATGAAATCCTACAGACGTTTTTAAGTCTAATGTCAAAACTAGGTTAATCTCTTTGACTTCTTAATATTATTGTTCTTTCCAACTTTATAATTTGTATTAAACAGAATGTATTTTGCTCCTGTGACCTATGTTCTGATCTTCAGCATCATCATTGGATATGTGTTACAACATGGAGAAAGGGCCCGATTTACAAACAAGTCATGTAAACCCGTATCATTGTTGCTACAATAATCTACAGGTTATTATGGGTCCCCTATTTCTATTTCGAACTTTCTATTTTAACCTCCCATGATCTCTAGTTTTTAACTTAGAATAGCCCCTAATTAGCCCTTCTATCACTTCTATTTCTATGGCTTTCATTGTCTCTTTATTCCAATCTGTTTTCAGACAACTTGTGTGTCTATGGAGACCACCAATGATTTAAAGTAGAAGAGTGAGTGGTCAGATTGAAAGTCGAAGAGAGAGTGGTCAGAGCTTTGCAGTCAAAACTAGCATTTCATTATTCAGAAATTCAATTTTTAAAGAAAATCTCCCTTCCCCTTTGCTGCCCTTGAAGGATCTCATAACCCTAGGCACTTGATTCATATAAAACAAATTCTTTGATTATTCCATTCTTTCCATCCTCCATCTCTTTTTACATGTCTTTGCCCTTCACTTGAGCTACATCAATTTCCCACTCACAGACACAAACCCTACCTTTCTTTATGAGCAAGTTCAAATGGCTACCTGCATGAGGACATTTCTGAGCATCCATTGAAGAAAATAATTTCTACATCTTCAGATTTGTATATGTCTTAAAGCACATATTACTTTGTAAACATTTCAGTTACTAATCTTTCTTCTCCTTAGGAAGTAGGGCTTAGATGTTTCACAGATCTGTGTGATACAAAGATCTGTCTCATATACTTGTAGCATCTTGAGTGCTAGCAAAGTTCCTTGCACATTACATATACTCAAAACAATTTTGAAGGATATATAAATTATAGAATAAAATTTCACTTTTCCAAATTTAAAACTAAATTTGAAATTATATATGACAATCATTAAATACTGCATTTGAAATGAAGAAGCAATAATGAGAACAGAAACAAAATAAAACAAAACCCAGAGGATCTCCAATTGCCAAATTGCCTTCTAAATGTGGTAGTGGTGACCACGTGTCTTCGTACAAAATCAAATGTTTGAGGATCTACATTTGTAGCAGCAGTGTTGCAGAAGAGAAAGAAAAGATATATATTATTCCTGGAAATTTTATATATATATATATATATATATATCTCCATAAACTGCAAAGATATCTTTTAAAAATCTTCAAAGACCATCTCTCATTACGAAAAATACACGCAATTCTAGGGAATTCTTGGAGGACAGCAGCAATCTTGCAAATATCCTACCATGACTAAGACAATGGTCTGTGATTTTCTCATTAACTTGTCTCAACAACATTGACTTTAGGAGGGAATACCAGTGAGGTGAGGACTCTTCCTTGCCCATTTTTCGACACAGAAGTCATAAACATTTGTGCCAATATTCTCAAATAAATTTAAGGAGCTGCAGAGCCTTAATGTAGAGTCAGTTTTGAGTTCTGTTTATTCAAGTGAGGTTAACAAAACATGAAGATACTCATGGGTTTATTAAATGAGCACTTATAAGTAAGGCAACTGATTATTTTCAGTGAACTAGTCCATAGCTTTGAGGTTAGCACATGTCTTAAAACTTTTTATCCTGGTAAAATAAAATGGACTAATGAAATATAGTTAAGGAATAGAAATGGCATCATCTATACAAACTACTCTTTTTTAATGGAATTCTTCACATAGAATTTAGTCCTAAAATTGTACAAAAGATAATTAGCTTGTCAAATGAATAAATGATTTTTTCTAAAAGAAGTATATCCATATCAAAAATTTTTCATGTTTAAAAAATAGTATCTGCAAAATACGACCTTAATATTAAAAATTTAGGCAATCTTTCATAGAACAAAACCTTATAAAAGTGATATATGAAGGGCTCTCAAGGTACATCAGAAGCATCTGAAGCGAGAAGTTGTGGGAACTATGGTATAAGTGGTTACAAGAGTAAACAAAGTTGAATATTCCTGTCCCCATGACTTAGGTATAAAAGATGACTTCTAGTTCAATGCAGGGAGTATCAAAGCCTGCCAAGGCGAATGCAGATATATGAGACATTGTGAAATTGCACTCATATATTTTTCCATGCCTGTGATTATTTGCTGATTTACTGTAGTCAAACTCCGGTGCTCATTCATTTAATCACAAGTCCCTTCACAACATAATTTAAGGTGATCACTCATGAGAATCTGGGTTGTGCCAGGAGCCTGAGGAACCACAGTGAGTTAGTGCTCTTGCAGATTCCTTGAGGAGCAATGAATTTTACTCCTCAAATGGGTCCAACATAAAAATGAGGGTGGTAGCCATGCGTGCTTGCAGGTTTCCAAACACTGAGACACATTTTGGCAGAATAGATAGGATTTCTTCTCAAGATGCTCCTGGAACTAGACTCAGCAGGTTCAATGAAAACCAAGACTAGAAAGGTTCTGTGGCCAGATTATTATCAGAGGCTATCCTTCTGCCCATGTCAAGTGGCTTCATGCATCATATTCATCTGTACACAACCATGTTTTAAGAAGGTTTTAAAATAGATTCACATTCCGAAAGAAAAACCCCAACTACCTGTGAGTTTAAATAGGAAACTCATTATATAAACTCAAAACAATTTTGAAGAATATATAAATTGTAGAATAAAATGAGTGTCATTGCACTCCAGCCTGGGCAACAAGAACGAAACTCTGTCTCAAAACAGACAAAAGAAAGAAAGAAAAACAATATCCAAGAAGAAAGAATGAAATATGCTTTAAAAAAAAAAAGAAATATGCTTAGGAAATACAGAACATTATTTGGGACTTTGTAAGAGTAAGTAAAATAAGCCACAACTTATTTTCTCCAGCTTAATGGGCGTCAACTCATTAAATGAGATAAGATATGCAAAATTACTTAGTGCTCAATCATTGTTATTATTATATGATAACCTCCATAATTTTATCTTTTGCAAACATGTTTAATCATTCTGATTTCAGTGCACACAGCATAAAACATGTACTCCTCAACTGTGGTTGAACTCCACCTCCCTCTTCACCATCATGCAGCTCCCTTCTCTTTCTGTCTTCTTGCTTTCATATTGCATTTCTTTATATCTCTACAACACATTCACTTCTTCCTGATTTAGCATCTTCACATTTCCTCTGCCTAGAGCAACCCATCACCCCAGTTGTTTTCTTTGCTTAGTTAACTGCTATTTATACCTCCAATCTCAATTCATAGGCCTCTTTCTTCAGGAAGTTTTCCCTGAATCTCAAAATTTTACCAAATGCTTCATGCACTTCTTCACATCAACATGTCAGTAATTATGAAATAAGTAATTATTACATTATTATATATTTTTTTCCTTGCTAGCTCTGTAAGAAAAGATAAAATTGTGTTTTGTTTATCACCTATATTTTTAGAGTCATCATAATAACTGACGGAGTGGTTGCTTTGTAAACATTTGTTGCATTAAAGAATGACTAAAAATAGAAGTAGGTTAACTAGTTAGCAAGAGTGCTCTAAAATAATTCTAAGCCCTGACTAGAGAGATCTAACCTCATAAATTCCCAAGGCCATTAGAGGGCTCTAAAGGCAATATTAAAAAACAAAAACCTTCTATTTTGATAGAACAATTTCCTACTGTGACAATATTTAAGAGATATTTTGCATGGTAAATGCCACTCAGAAACTTTCATTTTAGCTCCATTGAAAATAATCTTGGTTCCCTGATAGGTACTTTTTCTAGCATTTTCAATGTTTGGCACCTTAATGGGCATCTGCCTATATTTTGTCAGCTCTGCTTGTCAATTTGCAGACGAATTTTTGATATATTCCATACATTTTACCTCCATTAACATTTTTCAAGTGAATGGTCTCCTTCTTATTTGCGATGACTTTGACTTCTCATTTACTCTTTCAATTTTCTTGCATAAACGCTCAGAGAAATATGTATTTTCTATTTGACAATATATTTTATCCATTTAGATAAAAATACCTTTCTATATCTCCCAAAGAAAGCACCACATTTCTTTTTATTCTGCTTTTGATTTTTTTTTTTAATCTGAAATATTTTTTGCCAAAAGCACTACAAAGAGACGTTCGTAACCCTTCTGTGGTCTGTCTTTGCTGAAATTTAACTGGACAGCTTTTTTCATTTTATGTTAGAAAGGTTGTGCTTGCCCTACGTGGGGGAACTATCCTAAAGCAATGCAATCCAGTTCACAAATTTTAGTTTCATTTTCCCCATAAGAGTGAATAGTCAGGATCTACATGTAAAATGTATATATTTGAAAATGGGAAAACAGTTGAAAAATTACCTGGAAACCAGATTGTGTGGACATAGCCTCGGGCTTCTACAAGTTGTCTTCACTGTACTGACTGGATTCTGTGTGTAATTACGAAGAAAATTTTAATAGTGTTTTCCCTTGGCCATGTTCACTGGGAAACATTTTTCCTTGATGACTCTGGGTTTTTGGAATGAATTCATGTCAAGTTATCTTGTTGGCTGCTGACTAGTATTAAAAGCTTTGCAGAAAATTATTAAGGTACTTTAGGACAAAGTTAATATATTTTCATTATGGATGATATCAAAAAATAAATATACCTTTATTTAAAAATACAAAAAAGGGAAAATAGAAATCACTCATAATCCATGAATCTGTCAATACTAATTACATCAAAATAACTATTTTTCTAAAGAATAAAGTAAATTTCCCTTCTCTTTTCTCTCACAGACCATATATGTGGTTTTATAATTTCCTTTTTTATGTAATTTTATCTTGTGAGCCTTTCCCTATATGAAATATCTTACAGAATTATGAAATAAAAATATGTTGGTGTGCCTCAAAATATCTTCAAGTTTAATGTCCCTATCCCTTACCTACCTCTGCATTATTTTCATTCAACATAATTATTTATTAAATTTAGAAGATTTTCCCTCATTATCTTTATATTCACTAGAATTCTATGAAACAAAAAGGGCTCCTTATTACCAGCATTTTTCTCCACAATTATTGAAATAAATGGCATACAAACGGTAATTTGCAGACATTGCAGAATAAGTTTCTATAAAAGCAAAGACTAACTTTCAACATTTGTCAAGTGAGGAAGGTTTCAGTACATAATAAATACAAGTAGTTACAGCTTTATAGTTTTCAAGAACATTTCTACATGTTTAAACAAGCATTGCTCATATAAGTGACACAAATTTCTAAATTTCTTAGTGCCTCTGTATAAAAAAGTAGCAGATTAAATTAATTTTAATAATATTTTAACTTAATGCACTAAAAATTCTGTTATTTCCGCATGTAGTTAATATCAAAAAATATTAATGAAACTTTTTTGTACTAAGTCTTTGAATACTGTTGTGTATTTTACCTTTATAACACATCTCAATTTGAGCTAGCCACAATTCAAGTGCTCAATAGCCACATGTCGCTAGTGGCTACCATATTAGACAGTGTACATATAAATTTTCTTGTGTGGAAAAACCAATTCAATGGAAAAAATCTGCTTCTATTTCAAAAGTAAAATTTGAAGTTTGAGAAATCAAACATTTTCTGATGTTTTCACAGTTTTCTTCTAAGCAATCGTTCTTTCTTAGTATCTAATTTTAATTGTCATCTATACCAAATGAAAGCAATACTCTTAAGCTCAGTTTCATAATATTTGATAAAAGTAATTTATCTTTAATATATAAAAATCTGATGTAGTTTTTTGGTTGCTTATAATATTACTCTTTAGATATTTATAATATTTCATAGTTATTAATAATGTAGATTGCTGCCTGATTTAGCAAATATTTTGTATTAGTAAAACCATACAGCTCTCTGGAAGGCCAAAATAAAATCCCAAAACGTTAAGTTCAAAGACAATCTAGAATCACCATGGAATTAAAAAAGATATGTTTAGATCTTCAATAAAAACTAGCCTGTCAGAAACAAATATCACTAAATATCAGTGGTTGTCTATGATTATTTTGTTAGGACTTGAAAAATTAAAGATTGGAAATGAAGGAGGAGGAAAGGTGATGCTTCTTTTTTAAATGGGGGAGAAAGAAAATATTTGAAAACAATTCTAAAAATAGTAAACTATATAATATGTTATTTTGTACTTATTAACTTCAATAGCTTGACACACACTTATCTAATTCTTAAATTTTCTTTATCAATCTTCTAATTTATAAATTATGGTTGCTTCTGTCTCACTGACAGGAAAGTTTGTGAAACTTAGTATGTCTAATGACACATTTATGCTTGTTACAAGACTGTTTACATTTCTCTGAGCTTATTTCCTTCTCTATGAAGTAGGATGATCATATTCTTGAATTCCTCATTTTTTAAATGTACATAACCTGAATCTTTACTTCTTTACTAAGTGTCTATTAGCATCTTGATTAAGGATTAAAACTAAATTAAAAATGTCCCACTTGTAGCCTCTTTTTACCTTTTATTGTTTCCTCAAATTTATGAGACATTTGCCACTATCTCTCTCTCCACTTGAATTTAGCTAAAAGGGAAATAATGATACTTTCTCCTGATACAGTGCAAGGTGCTATTTGATATGAGGATTCAATGAGAAGGTGCAATAGAAAACTCTTCTAGACATGCATAATGTTGTGCAAAGGTGAGATTTATCTTTGTAAAAAATATGTTCTGCCGTTTTAATACCAAGAAAAAGCATCTACCCTTCTGCTGTTGTCCTCAGTTTGCTTTCCATTGGGTGTTGTGAACTAGGAAGCAATGCATATATTTCACCCAAAGAGAGTGAGAAAGTGATTCCATATTCCCTGGATGAGTTTTACACTTTACAGTAGCTGACACTAAACAACTTGGCTGTATCACATGTCTTCTCAAACTGATCAGCACTCGGGTCTGATTATTCAAAAATATTCTTAGGTTGCCAAAATACCATGTCACTTTATGTCTTTCTGGGAAATAAAAATGTATGCAAGAAATTTTACACTTTTAAAATGGAAGTGAAATTCCTTTTAGACAGCTACATGGGCCAGTCTCAAGAGAAGGTTTCCAGCTTGAAAATGATGGCTCAACCATGTTCTTTATTGAAGTTGTGTCTATTTGCAAAGCCTTTTTATTTTTTTCATACTGTCTCAGTGTGCAGAAAAAACAGTGGGAACCCGAACACTCATCTGTATATGTTTACAGTATCCAATCAATTTGCATTAATAAAGATTGAAAACTAGCAAATTAATTTGTGAGGTGACTCGTTTCAGTGAGTCTTTAAACATTCTCTGGAGAGCTATTGTGAAATCACTGAATACAAGGACTATATTTAGAATGTGTGTTGAGCCTCTGAGTGCTCAACAGCAGTAATAGGTCTATTTCTGAAGTAAGGACTGCCTCCTTGTGGAATTCCACTGGGAAGAGAAACGAAAAGGTCCCTAAATAATAATGCCATATCTCAACGGTAGATCAAAGAGTGGCTCTAACATGGTCTTCATGGTTAAAGGTCTCTTCATTTATTCTTTCAATAAATATTTACTGTGCATCTATTATGTGCCTGCCTATCTTCTACATTATGGGAAAACAACAAAATCAAAATATATTATGTTCTTTTCTCTATAGAATTTATGTTCCAAGAAGTATGCAAATAAAGAAAATAATTTTCAAGAGTGAGAATTGCAAAGAAAGAAATAAACCAGGTGATGCAATAGAGTAGTAAGAGAGACTTTACATTTTTGATCGAGTTGTCAATTAAAGCTGTCCTGAGAAGATCTGAATGTTGTAAAGAAACCAGGCAATCAAATGAGAAGCTCCTGGGAAGAGTGTTACCATCAGGCCACCCATGAATTAACTGAGTTGAGAAAGCAGTTTGTGTATTTGATGATCAGATGATAGTCATTTTAGTCACGGCTTAGAGTTTGAATTTTAAATAAAAATTCAAGAGGAGGTGATTAAACATTATTTTCAGAAAAATTGATTTTATTAATATCCTTCTATCTGCTATGTGTTGAATGGTTTATGGAAAGGCAAGGGTAGGAAAGATCAATAACGTGACTGTTATAGGGGTTCAGATTGGTGACAGTGGTAGTGTGGACTGGAATAGTAGCAATGAAAGTGGAGAAGAAGGCCGGGCACAGTAGCTCATGCCTGTAATCCCAGCACTTTGGGAGGCTGAGGCAGGCGGATTACCTGAGGTCAGGAGTTCAAAACCAACCTGGCCAACATGGTGAAACCCCATCTCTACTAAAAATACAAAAATTAGCTGGATGCGGTGTCACGCACCTGTAATCCCAGCTACTCAGGAGGCTGAAGCAGGAGTATCTCTTGAACCTGGGAGGCGGAGGTTGCACTGAGATGAGATCACACCATTGCATTCCAGCCTGGGCAACAGAGTGAGACTCCGTCTCATGAAAGAAAGAAAGAAAGAAAGATAGAAAGAAAGAAAGAAAGAGGAGAAGAACAGATTATTTCAAAATATGGTTTAGGAATAGGATGTGGGGAGGTGAAGAAAGGAAGAAATAAGAGTAATTATCAGGTATTATGACTTGAGTAATTCAGTAAGTGGTGATAGCATTTATTAAGTAAGGACTGAGGGAAGAAGATACTTGAAGAACAAAAATCAAATACTTCTTTATGTTTCACTTCCTACTGGATAGCTACATTTAGAGCTCAGGAAAGAAAGTGTGCAGCAGAAATACAAGAGTTGGACATGAGTCTCGTTCATTAGAGAACAACTTTTTTTGGTACTCAGTGTTATCTGACTGCTGCTGGCAGTGTGGGTAGAATTTAGTATATGAGTTCTAAGTGACTGAAAATAAAGGCTGAACTATTTATGAGCAGTAAAAGCTTTTAGTGCAGTATGAGTCTGGTACTTTCCTGAGCACTGTACTTAAAATGAGATAGTATCTCTCCTTCCAAACAATGTATCTACTAAAATCTACTTGCAGGCAGGGACCACATGTCTATCATATACTGATGACATGCCAAAATCTGGCTCAGGACCTGAGACATCACAGTTACTCAGCAGGTATTCAGGGAATAAATTATGTGAACATGGGCCAAGCTCAGACAGTGATGTTTGCATCATAATTTTTCCTTTTCCTGGAGAAAAATGTTGGATTGAAATGCAGCGAAACTAACTTAAGTATTTGTCATCCTCCTTTTCATCTTATGTCTAAGATTATTTGAAGGAACACCAAAGAATCTGTAAAATAAATAAATAAGAGGGCTACTGCTGGTCACCAAGTAGTATTGCCAAAAGCTATTCTCCTGGCCTGGTGAGCTTTATGTTTCCTGAACACTGCTAGGATGAGAACAGCTGGTTAGATTTGTGCTTTCTTCAGTATGCCTCTCTTTAAAAGAAGAACTCCCAGATATTGTTGATTTCTGCCAAGAGACCCCTGGATATTTCAGTTTTCTCATTGTGATTGGTCTTTAGAAAACAAAGTTAAAGATGGGTCTTTTGTTAGTTTGTTTTTGTTTTTTGCTTTTATACTGGTTCCCTCAAAACACTGTTCGCTTAATGCAATGGCACTGACTAGTTTCAGGGAACATTGGAAAGTCTCTTTTCATTCTAGTTTATGGGCTTGTTTTATATGTATATTATCATACTGCATTTTTCAGCAAAAAAAAGCATCCCCTGAATTGATCAACAGTCACGTTATTCACCCACATGCAGCTGGTTTTTTGCTCTTTCCAAAGATTATGAAGTTAACTACTCTTCATTAGAGAGGGTGTTTATTTTAAAGGTCATAGACTCAAAAGACAGCTGCACAGATCCCTAACATGTGCAATTTGTTCACCTATAAAGGGGTGAGGTTTGCACACCATGGATGTTCAATAGTCATTCAACATTAATGTAAATTTCCAGAGCCCCTAAGAACTTACCTCGGGCCATCAACTGTGTCTGCCCTTAACTATCACCTAGAAGAGACTGAAATTTTTCAGAAACTGTCTCAAACATCTTTTGAGAGAAATACTGAAATAAGTATGCATCATCTAGTGACATTACTTGAGGTAATGAGCACACTTTGAATATACTCATTCTGGAGTTTTATTTTTTAAGGGCACTTATTTTGTTATTTATTTTTTCACTTAAAATATTTATTGAGTGCTTAGTAAATGCAGGCACTAAGCAAGGAGAATCTTGAGAACTCCAATGTTTACAGCACCTTCTTTGCTGCAACTCCCACTCTGAATATAATAGAATATGCTCATTATTCCCCTTCCTTAAAAGAACAAGTTGTGTTTCTATTATTACTATTAGCAGTAGAGTCTTACATAAAGAATGCATTAAAAATCACACCCAAATACAACTGCTGACAGTCTGTGACAATCTAATTGCATTTCTGCCATCCCAGAGAAGCTATTTGTTGTCACTTATAATGATGCCATAAATTAACAATCAACTGGAAAGAGACAGTTTTAAATACAACCTCTTCACAATTTAAAGCAGGTCTTTGGTACTAAACACATTATCAGGATCGCTAAGTGTTCCTAGAAAGCAAATGTATTTCTCCTTCTCACTTTATACCACATGCTATTAACAAGAGGGGAATTGCAAGGCAGCCTGGGCTCCGCAGAAGCACCCACAGTGAGAAAGTGCTGGGTGGCATGATTTGCACTCTCTCGGTGTTGCTGATCACCCCCTCTGTATCTGAAGTGGAAGAGGAAGCCTAGGAAGAGTTATAAAAGGAGCAGCTCAAAAATTATTCTTTTGCACCTTTTAAGTAATGCGCTACAGGGCTGTAGCTAAGAACATGGACTTCTGAAGGTGTGTCAGTTTGACTCCAACCTGTCACTTTCTAGAGCTGCATGGTTCAATCGGAAAATCAGTAGTCATGTGTGGATATTTAAATTTAAATTAATTAAAATTAAATAAAATTTATAAGAGTGAGTTTCACAGTCACGCTCATTATATTTCCAGTGCTCAGATACAGAACATTTCCATTATCACAAAGTTCCATTGAACAACGCTGTTCTGCCGTCATCATTTTCATTTCCATGGCTAACATTCTACCTAGTTCAACCCATCTTCATTACCCACATTTGCTAGATCAGTCATCTCTCTTCTTCTACATTTGCCTTTCTATAGTTTCTACCTAACTCAGAAGCCGTTGTCATTTTGAAACTTAAAGGCAAGGTGGGAGGATCACTTGAGGCCAAGAGTTGGAAGCTGCAGTGAGCCATGATCATTCTACTGTACTCCAGCCTGGGTGGCAAAGTGAGACAAGAAAAAAAGAAAGAAGAAAAGGAAGAAAGGAAGAGAGAGAGAGAGAGAAAGAAAGAAAGAGAGAGAGAGAAAGAAAGAAAGAAAGAAAGAAAGAAAGAAGAAAGAAAGAAAGAAAGAAAGAAAGAAAGAAAGAAAGAAAGAAAGAAAGAAAGAAAGAAAGGAAAGAAAAGAAAGAAAAGAAAGAAAGGAAGGAAGAAAAAGAGGGAGGGAAGCAGGGAAGGAGGGAAGGAAGGAAGGAAGGAAGGAAGGGAGGAAGACATTTAAATCCGACCGTGATATCTTTCTCTATAGTTTCTCTTTATATTCGAGTAAAATCCAGGTTCATTACTATGGTCTCCAAACTTTATATATATGAGTCATAACATCATATTCTATCATTCCACATCTCGCCCTCACTCCCTTTTCCCATTTACTACTTTCAAGTCACCGTGGCTTCATTCTGGTCTTTGAATGCTGCAAGGATGGTCTTTCTTTGGAAGTTTTGGTCTATATATTTTCATCACTGGAAATCTTCTTCCCATTTAACATCACAGGACTTACTTCTGTTCAATCAAATTTCAAATTAAGTTTAATTTCTCCTGGAAGACCTTAAATGACCACTTGCTTATATTCTATCATTTCAATTTCTTTTTATAGACTTTACCATTACCATTAATTTTGATTTCTCACTTTTTTTGTTTATTGTTTGCCTTTATCCATTGTAATATGATCTCTGTAAATGCAGGGGTCTTGTATCTTTTGTTCTATGCTGAACCCTCAGTGCCTAGCAAATTGTTTGACACAGATGAATGTTCAGTAAATAATTTGAAATGGCATAATACAACAGGTAAAATTGAGCACGTTATTGTACTTCCCAGAGCCACTGTAAATTTTAGATTGATTAGCTTATTTAATCTTCACGCTTTCCCTCTGAAGAATGTACTAATAATACCTTTATTTTCCAGATGAAGAAAGTGCTTAAGCAACATTTAGCGCCATTTATAATTTTAATAAATGGCAGTGCATAATGAGTTTTCTAAACCCTCTAGCCAGTATTGCTTTTGGAAACTTTGTGAAACATAAAATGTGGCAATTGTTAAAGAATCAGAAATGACATGAACATTAGAAGTAACCTTATTAACATCTCCTTCATCTCCTTGCAGTGAATTACCCACACCTGGCTTCTGCCTCATATGTTCCATACAAAATTATATCTACATGGTTCCTGCTGTCAAATACCTGCCTCAGGTAAGATCTGGGTTCAACAGTCCAAGGCCAGCTACATTAATATTGAAGCCTATTCACAAGAGAAAGTTGAATGTTGAGGTTCAAATCAAAATGTCAAGTAAATAATTCTATAGGGATAACAACATGAAGTGAGAAATTGGACTAAATTATCTAAGAATCTCTCCTTGTAAATTTTTAATTCTACCTGATTTTGCAGAAGTACTCTGCTTATGTTAAGTATGTTACTTCGACTCTGAGCTACTGAACACTTCATGTGCATTAGTTTATATGCACAACTATGAGGTAACTAAGCTAAATACATAAACCCCAAGACACATCTAAATATTTACAATAGCAAAAATACCCTATGCTTGACTATTTACATAAATGAGACAGCAAGGAGACCCCAGAAAGTCTTACTAAGGATAAAACATAAATATATTGAGGATTAATAGTCTATATATCTAATTTTCATCTACATAACACAAAGGCCCACTCATCCAAATTGCTAAATGTTGATTTTGTGCATGGAAGGGGTTGATCTGGACACTGCTTAATTTGGCTAAACAAGCCATCCTTCCTCAAGAAGCGTACAATCTTAAAGGGAAATGATAAATCCAATGGTCCATCCAAATATAACTAGAAAGATGTTGGAATTGAGTATATTTCGGAAAGCTAAAGATGGATTGGTATGGCTAGTTGAACACAGATTTCAGCTCTGATACTTTCTTTCCTAGAAGAGTATTGACTATATAAGATCACCATGATAATGCCTCAAACTTTGTGACAGATATAAGGCCCAGAGATGGGCAGCCATCAAGGATGGTGAGAAACACAATCAGGAAAAGGAATTAAGGAACTGGTGGTTGAGTGTCTCCTTATAGAAATATATAAATGCGTCAAATGATCATAGATGAATGGAACATTATATCCAGAAGAGCCTTTGTGTACCAGTAAACCAATTTCTATTTAAGACTGTCAGAAAGCAGAAGTGACTGCCCCAAAAATATAAGGTGGTGAATCTTCAACCAGATCCATGTCTCATGAGTACTAGTCCAGAGGTTTTTTTTTTTCGGTATTATTCTTATTAAACATAGCCATTGTAAAATTGAAACAAATCTACATGAGGCCGGGTGCAATGGGTCTTGCCTGTAATCCCAACACTTTGAGAGGCCAAGGTAGGCGGATAACTTGAGGTCAGGAGTTCGAGACTAGCCTGACCAACATGGTGAAATCCTGACTCTACTAAAAATACAAAAAATTAGCTGGGCATGGTGGCACATGCATGTAATCCCAGCTACTCAGGAGGCTGAGGCAGGAGAATCGCTTGAACTCCAGAGGCGGAGGTTGCAGTGAGCCAAGATTGTGCCACTGCACTCCAGCCTGGGGGACAGAGCGAGATTCTGCCTAAAAAACAAAGAAGAAAGAAAGAAAGAAAGAAAGAAAGAAAGAAAGAAAGAAAGAAAGAAAGAAAGAAAGAAAGAAAGAAAGAAAGAAAGAAAGAAAGAAAGAAAGAAAGAAAGAAAGAAAGAAAGAAAGAAAGAAAGAAAGAAAGAAAGAAAGAAAGAAAGAAAGAAAGAAAGAAAGAAAGAAAGAAAGAAAGAAAGAAAGAAAGAAAGAAAGAAAGAAAGAAAGAAAGAAAGAAAGAAAGAAAGAAAGAAAGAAAGAAAGAAAGAAAGAAAGAAAGAAAGAAAGAAAGAAAGAAAGAAAGAAAGAAAGAAAGAAAGAAAGAAAGAAAGAAAGAAGGAAAGAAAGAAAGAAAGAAAGAGAAAGAAAGAGAAAGAGAGAAAGAAAAGAAAGAGAGAAAGGAAAGAAAGAAAGGGAGAAAGAAAAGAAAAAAAGAAAGAGAAAGAGAGAAAGAAAGCGAGAAGAAAGCAAGCAAGCAAGCAAGCAAGCAAGCAAGAAAGAAAAAGAAAGAGAAAGTAAAAAGAAAGAAATCTACATGGGATAGAATTCAAATGCAGAAGAGAATTCTATTTTTTCAATGAGGTGTCAGAATTTTAAAGAAAATAACTACCTAATTCCTAAAGCAGGTCACTGAAGGAAGGTGAAAAAAATGACCATGATGACACATTTTCTTGGGATGACATTTATACCATCCTGAATAGAGTGTAGAAACTGGACTTTATTTCATTTCTTTTAATTTCTAGAATCTCTCTTCTTGGTGCTGCACTCTTGTGATTCTATATTTGGCCAAACAGCCTGATGTCTCCCCACACACATACCCTTAATCCCACAATCTGCTCATCATTTCCCAAATATATCATAGCCTTTTCCACTTCACTGTTTTGCTCACGCAAAGCCTCCTGTTTGGATTTTTCATTCTCATATTTATGGTTACCATGAGCCTTGAAGGTAAGTAGGATTTCAACATTTTGAGAACTGCAACAGAGGGGCATTTTCTGTCCCACAACATTAAAATTAGTCACCCTTCCTCTATTTCCACAGCAGTATGATGACAATTCTGTTGTTGTATTTCGTTAACTTACTCAATGGTTATTGACTGTCTACTATGCAGTAGGTTAATGTGTTAGTAAGCCTTATTGTACCAGTAAATAACCTATTTTACCCATAAGAGCTTATGGGCTTCTTAAGGTCATGGGGCACATCTTACTTATATTTGCATTGCCCACAGCTTCTAATATCATTCAATAAACATATTAGAAACTTAAAGTTTATTGAATAGACAGAGCATGATCCATCAGCTTCAAAATGATTCTCGAGCTTGAAGGAACACAAGGGTACCTCTTGACAAGAAATGAACAGCTTAAATTTACTACCAACTATGACCAAAACATGCTTCATTTTCAGAAATATTGAATCTGTGTCACACATTTTGGAAAATCTCAGACATCAGGTAAGTGACTCACTGTTTGACATCTCCCCTGGAGGTTTAAGCAAAGGCAAATTGATTTGAGTACCTGGCCAAATCTGAGCATTCCTGCAGGGGAGGGGGAATGGAGGTCTTTGGGAAGATTTTGAGCAGCATGAGAGTCTCCTCAGGAAGGGAGACAGGGAGGGATAGTGTTTGCAAAGTAGTTTATGGATGGATGGGCAGCCAAATGGCTTGATGGCATAAGAGGAAATAGTTCTTAAGGCCACCCTCCCTGCAAAATACACTTTCCCATCCATATGACAGGACTGGGCTACTTTCCAGTAGTTTGGTTTACCAGACTGTATGCCTGCTGATGCATGAATGACAAAGATAAAGCTAAGACTGAAATTATATTAATATGTACATTTAGTTATACATATAGTTGTAGATTGGTATAGCTATATCTATATATATGGATATAGATAATATCAGTATTGACTAGTTCTCTGTAGACAAGTCATCAGCGTACATTGGCGCATACATGAATCATTTGTGGCTTTCAATATGGATATCATAAGAAAAACTGACATTTAAAGTTCATAAAATGAACACCGTAAAGAAGCGTCTTTTAAGATTATCATGAAAATTCTTGGAACTTGTAGCAGGCATCCACTGAGGTGAGTTTAATTGTCTTTTTTCATTTCTCTCCCCAGATGATGTTTGAAACTAAGTAAGTCCTCTAAAAAAAATTTCGTCATCTTCAGGTGTTTCAAACTTTTTTAGAGAATGAAAATTATACTTTATAGTGATCATTACCCTTTATTATAAAAATGTAGTATATTCTCTTATATGGAAGAGTTGAGTGGCATGTGGCCACTCAACCTCTTACTGAATGCAAGACACACAGACCCATGCACTCATACAGACACACATACACACACACACATAAATATACACATACCATATTTTTAGGTATTTTGTTAATTTTATTTGAGGTATTTGTTATATATATCATATACATATTATATTTGTTTTTATATTTATTTTAAATATTTATTATATATAATATATCTAATATACTTTAAATATATATCATTTCAAAAATATTTTTAAACAATTTATTTTATTTGCCAAAATACATCTCTAGGTACCCTATGCTTATTTACCTTAATAATTCACTTTCTAATTTCACTTAAGTTAATTTTATCTTTCACAAGATAACACATAAAATGTAATAGACACCTCCTAACTCTTCCTCAAATTATGTTTCTTCTTGTCTCTGGATTACACTCCAGTGTACTATGAAAGGAAAGTTCATCAAATGCTGTGTAAAACTATATAAAATTGTAAATATTTGACCATTTTTATTACTTTCAAAGACAAAAATTTCCTGTGGTTCAACCTAACACTTATAATATGTGTAGCCATCTATTACATTCAAATATGCAAGTCCGACTAAATACACTATTGACCCCTAGATGCTCATTTTTTTGGTATGAAAGGTGGCTTCGAGCTGATATATTACCATGGAATGGGCTTAGAAGAACAGTAATATAACATTTATAAGGTATGTAATTAGCAATGAGAAAAGAGTTGCTTACTCTTTCAGGCTTGGGAAGGCGCTTTTAAAATGCTTAATAGTAATATCAAAATGGGGTTTTGAACAAGAATACAAGTTTACCAAAGAGAAAAAGAATAAATGACATTCTAGCCAAGGTAAACAACATATGCAAACAAATTAGGGCATAAGGTAGCAAGGTGAATTTAGAAGATTAAAACCAGTTTCCTTTTGCTGTTGCATAAATAGGCAAGAGTGTGAGGGTGTGTGTATTTGTGTGTGTGTGTGTGTGTGTTCAATTTAGAATCATAAAACATGAAGCTAGAGAGATAGTCTAGGATGAGATTTGGAATGTTTTTCATATCATACAAAAGATTTTATCTAGTGTCTCAGAATGGTCTAATTGGCAGCTTTATGGAGGCTAAAGATTGAGTTAGAGGAAAAGGGAATCATTAGAGAATTTTCCATATAGTTTATACTATTATGATTTCTTTCTTGCTGAAGTAGCACAGAAGAAGAAAAGAGAAAGTAATGGGTTTAAGTAACATATGCAACATAAAGTTAACAGGATTTGCTAATTGATTGGATGCCAGGAAAAAAAAATGGAAGAGTAGTCCTAGGTAGCTCCACACACTGGTTTGAGTGACACATAAAAATGGTGTTGCCTTGGGTAAAAAAAAAAAAAATAGAAAGAATGAATAAGACCTACCGTAGGGTGACTATAGTCAATAGTAACTTAATTGTATATTTTAAAATAATTTTAAGAATGTAATTGGATTGTTTGAACTCAAAGGATAAATGCTTCAGGGGATAGATACTTCATTCTCTGTGATGAGCTCATTTCACATTGCATGCCAGTATCATGCCTGTAACATGTCATATACCTGCAAAAATTTTAAAAATAATTAAAAAATAATTTTTTAAAAAATAGTGGTGCCAGGCCAGGCATGGTGGCTCATGCCTATAATCCCAGCACTTTGGGAGGCTGAGGCAGGAGGATTGCCTGAGTCCAGTAGTTCAAGACCAGTCTGAGCAACATGGTGATACCCCATCTCTATTTAAAAAAAAATGTAAAAAAAAAAATGGTGATACCCCATATCTATTAAAAAAAAAAGTAAAGAAAAAATGGTGCTGCCGTTTCTTGAAAAAAAGAACACCATGGTTATAAGGAAGCAAGTATATTAGATGTTATCCAGCCCTTCAGCCTCAGCATCCTGGGACACTCAGGATTTATGTGTAAATAGAAACAAGCATTAAATGTCAAAATCATTATTGTTGTGACCATCCTCATTCTTTTCATCCTTAAATTTGTGCATTAGAATAACACTGATTTTGTGTTCTTATCATCATTTAAGATAAAAATAATGTTTATTTTTTTTTTTGGATGTAGAGAATGAGTGGATTCATTAAGGCCGTTAGATGAATTACTGAATATTCAAAGAAACGTGTTGCAAAAATATTTCAGGATCAAGGAACACTGAGATTTAAGGGCAAAAAGATGAACAAAAGTAATATTCAATAGTCACCTACTATAAAACTAAAACTTTCCATAGAAAACTTACATAAACTCAAAAAAGTTAAAATAATTGTAGCTATTTTCTATGTTAAAGCTGTAAGAAACTTTTGCAAACTGCTTTTAGATTTCAATTGACATTTATTGAAATATCTTATATATTAAGGCAACTTGTATCATGGTTGACAGTCTCTAAAGTAGACCAATAATTTCCATCTCTACGACACTCATGGTCTTATATTTCTCCTGCCCTCAAGTGGGGCCTGTACTTAGTGACACTTGCGATGAATAGAATGTTCTCATTAATAAGTGTAAGCTGAACAATGAGAACACATGGACACATGCCAGAGAACAAAACACACTGGGGCTTGTTGTTGGGGAGAAGGAGAGGGAGAGCATCAGGAAGAATAGCTAATGGATGCTGGGCTTAATAGCTTGGTGATGGGTTGATCTGTGCAGCAAACCACCATGGAACACATTTACCTATGTAACAAACCTGCACGTCCTGCACGTGTACCCCAGAACTTAAAATAAAAGCTGAAAAAAAATATGGCAGAAGTGATTTTTGAGACTGGATTATATAAAGACTTTTGCTTCTGTCTAGTTTACTCTATGCCTCCACTCTTTCTCAGTCTCTGGGTCCTCCTTTTTCTCTTGCATGGTTCACTGTGGCTGACTCCAGCTGCCCTGTTGTCAGTAGCTTTATGGAAAAACATAATGGGAAACTGGGGCCTCCTTCTAAGAGTCAGCAAGGAAATAGTTTCTTGCCAACAGTCATGTGGCTGGGCTTGGGCGCAGATCATCTAGCCCCAGTCTCTAGCTTTCGGTAACTGCTTAACTGTAAAACCTCATGAGAGAGTCTAAGCTAGAAGAAACTAGCTAAGCCACCCCTAGACTTCTGAACCTCAAAAACTATGTAAGATAATAAATGTTTATAGTTTTAAGCTGCTAATACTGGAACAACTTATTGTACAGCAATAATTTCTTTTTTTTTTTTTTTTTTTTGAGACAGAGTCTTGCTCTGTCACCAGGCTGGAGTGCAGTGGCATGACCTTGGCTCACTGCAACCTCCAACTCCCTGGTTCAAGTGATTCTCCTGCCTCAACATTCCTAATAACTGAGATTACAGGTGCACACCACCATGCCCAGCTAATTTTTGTATGTTTAGTACAGATGGGGTTTCATCATTTCAGGCAGGATGGTCTCAATCTCCTGACATTGTGATCTGCCCGCCTTGACCTCCCAAAGTGCTGGGATTACAGGCGTAAGCCACTGAACCCGGCCAATAAATTTTTAATACACATACATTAGCTTACTTTATCCTTATAAATGTTTTTTATAGATATTAAGATTTAGATTTACAGAAGAATTTACTGAGACTCACAGAGGCAAAACTGTTACTAAGATTTGAACTCTGTTCAGTCTGGCCCCTTCCTAATTCCTTCCATTATACCTCAATGTTTTCTGGGAATTTAAGGCTCTCTAGGACTAATTGTGGTAATTTGCATGTTTATGTAACACCTACTTCCTTGGTTTTATTTCTGACATTTTCTGATCACTCTTGCACAGACAATCCAGTTAAGAGTATGATGCAGCTGTTTCAAGCAACCTGCTGCTTTGGCTGCAGCTGGGAACAACTAACTTTCCCAGCAAGCTCTGATTAGCATGTTGATCTTGACAAGTGCTTTCTTCTCTGAATGCCACGGCAGGAGTGATTGTTGTCACCACACCTTAGTCTTCTATTGTACGCAGATTCTGTGGTTTGCCTCTGCTTACTAAAAACACAACCCACTGCTGATACACTCTAAATGTGAGCCATTTCTCCTGATTTTTAGACATATAAACCCTCTGAGGGAGAAGTAATCCCATGCAAATCAGGCTAGATACAGATTTAGAAAATATCTGGGATTGAAATGAAGGCATAGGAGTGGAACAGGCATTTTTGAGTTCCTTTTATGTATTGGGTACTTATGATGCATTAGCTTATTTAATATGTACCTAACCAAGTATGACGGTGCGTGACTGCTATTGGTGGAGAGGGTTGAGAAAAATTAGTGGAAGTGCTGTGATTCTAAGGCTGCCTTTTAAAGTGAATCCTCTTCTCATTGAGTACTAAATCATAGCATTTATTGAGCACTCACTATGTCCAGAATACTTTATCTTCAGTCCTCACATCAACTCTTCAAGATAACATGTATAGTTTCTCAGTTTGCAAAATAGGATGAGAACTTAGAAAAGTGTCCCATAATAATAGGTAATCAGCAGTAAATCTTGAGCCTGCAAAATATTTGTCTGTTTTTTTTTCCTGATTCCAAACATAGAATCCTGTTCACTATATTCACCAGCTATTATTAGAAGTATTTATAATCAGAAAAGGTAAAGTCAGAATGGAGAATTTAATAAAAAAGGAATGAAACCAGAAAGAAAATATTCTAATAAAGTTAAAGGATGGATAGATGAAAGAGAAAGAAAGAGAGAGAAAAAAAGAATGAGAGAACAAAGAAAGGAAAGAGAGAACAAAGAGAAAGGAAAGAAAGTAAGAAAGAAAGAATGAAAGAGAGAAGAGAGAACAAAGAGAAAGGAAAGAAAGAGAAAGAAAGAAGAGAGAACAAAGAGAAAGGAAAGAAAGAAAGAGAGGGAGAAAGAAAGAAAGAGAACAAAGAGAAAGGAAAGAAAGTAAGAAAGAATGAAAGAAAGAGAGAAGAGAGAACAAAGAGAAAGGAAAGAAAGAGAGAAGAGAGAACAAAGAGAAAGGAAAGAAAGAAAGAGAGGGAGAAAGAAAGAAAGAGAACAAAGAGAAAGGAAAGAAAGAAAAGAAAGAGAGAAAGAGAGAAAGAAAGAAAGAGAAAAAGGAAGGAAGGAGAGAGAGAGAAGGAAGGAAGGAAAAAAGTAAGGAAGGAAGGGACGAAAGAAGAAAGAAATGATATAAGTAAATAAATGAAATGTTTATGAGTGAATTTAACAAAGAAGTTCCAGGAAGTACAGAAACAGAACCTTACTCTATAAAGGCACAGGTAGTAATAATCACAGTCGTAACTGCTCGCTACGTACCAGATACTTTGCCCTTAGGGTTGTTGCAAAGACTGTAAGAGACGATCTGTACTAAGTGTTGTCTCTATGGCTGTTTTATATATGAAACATCTAACACTTAGAGAAGCTAAATAGCTTGCCAAAGGCACACAATGAGAAATCAGAGGGACACAAACGGCAAGTATTCTGACTCCACAGCCATAATAATAATCACTGAACAATACGGCTTATGTTTTAAGGATACAATGGTTTCAATCTTTACATTAAAGCCAGTGATATAGGAAAAGATGAGGAACTTTTATTAAAAATGAAGAAGCCTTTATTATGTAATCGAAGTCATGTTCTACGAACAGTACTTTTGAATGTTTTACTGAAAATGAACTTTTTTTTCTTCAAATAAAACATGGTGGTAAAATACGATTAATATGACATGACATTACAAAAGAAGCTTTTGTCATGTAGCTCAGGATGTAATATTTTATTTTAGGTGTAACTGGAATCTCCTAAAATGTCAATAAACTGTATTATAATAAATAAGTAAATAAAATTAATTAAAAATAATAAACAAATACAAGAAATAATGATGGGTTCAAGGTAATTGTGGGTTTTTCCCCTAGATTCCAACTCTTTTACTCACATTGTATACTAAGCCAATCAAATATATTAGTTAATGACAATGTACATAGAGCATACACAAGCAGGATAATTACAGATAAAAAAATGTAATCTGGTCATGTCTTGGAGAGACCATTTTGAAAAGAGGCCACTTTTCAATACACAGGCAGGATAACTAGAGATGAAAAATGTAATCTGATCATGTCTTAGAGAGACCATTTTGAAAAGATGTCACGCTGAATCTTTAATTCTGCACTGGATAAAGACAATATTGGTTAGACAACCATACCAATGGGTTCTGCTTTGCTAATTATCTAAATCACAGACATTGATATAACCTTGAGGCTGGGAGTGGGTAGGACTTAAGATCACAATTTTAAGCCAATATGGCATGACAGAAAGTATGCTGGGATTGAAATAAAAATATATGATTATGAATTTTAGAACTCTAATTTAACTATGTATAGGGCCACCATGTGAAATAGAGGAATTCCAGTTAAATATTGGATATTTTTGTTTGTTTCAGTTATAACAAAATATCAATATGGTATGGAACACACATACACTAAATTATTATTAATTGTTTATCTTAAATTCAAATTTAAATGGGCATCCTCTGTTTTTATTTGCTAAATGTGAGTTTGGGAAAGTTCCCGGACCCAAATGTTTTCAACTGAATAATGTAGATAAATAATAATTTTTTGCCTACCTCACAAATTGTTGTCAGGATTAAGTTAGAAAACAAATGTAAAAGCCTATCAGTTTCAGCCATTTGTGTCAGGGGCCATGTCGACAACTTCTGAACTTATTTAAATAAATTTAATATCCCATTTTGTCAAATAATACCTTAAATAATCCTTGCCCTTAACTATGGCATTATTTGTCCAGCTGATATAATTTTCCACTTAATTTAGATAAATATTTCTACGTTGTTCACTTACATATTATTATTAGATGCACCTAAATGGGTAAAAATTGGATTAGAAGGATACTCACCCTTTATGGATGACAAATACGAATGGGTCTAAGTGGTAGAGGAGGGTCTCAAAGTACTTCTCCCTCTTAAAATAATTTCTTGCATGGGCATGGTGGCTCACGCCTGTAATCCCAGCACTTTGGGAGGCCGAGACAGGTGGATCACCTGAGATCAGGAGTTTGAGACCAGCCTGATCAATATGGTGAAACCCCATTCCTACTAAAAATACAAAAATTACCCAGGCATGGTGGCAGGCACCTGTAATCCCAGCTACTCAGGAGGCTGGCACAGGAGAATTGCTTGAACTCGGGAGGCAGAGATTGCAGTGAGCCGAGATTGCATCACTGCACTCCAGACTGGGCAACAGAGTGAGACTCTGTCTTAAAAAAAAAAAAAGTTTCTTGCCCAAAGGAGGTAGTTTGTAGGGGTTTGTCTTGTGATATTCATAACAGTGAAAAAACAAATGCATCAATAAGAGATGCAGGAAGAGATATCTGTTCAATGATGTAGATACTAACAGTTAACCAGTAAATTCAAACCTATAGACAAAGTAAAAATGTGTGGTTCCCAATCCTGATATACAGAATTAGCTCATTGTTTCTATTAAAACCTGGACAATAAAAAAAATTGTGAAGGAGGGAGTTATTTAATCTGAGACTCTGAGTCATCTACACTTAAAAATGATAACGAAACCTAGCAAATTGCTTACACATCTAGATGAGGGGGGACAAACTCAACAGAATATCGTATGGTGATACAATTGGTTCATATTTACATAAATAGAATCAATAGATGGTGCAGATGTCAGCAAAATACTAAATAGTCTTTGACATGCATTTCTGTTTCAGTCCTCATTGGAATCCTGGGTCTCTTTCCAATTCCAATTTCTAATGGTCAGAGTGAAATCCTGTAAAATTATATCAATCTGAACCATTTTGCATAAATTTTAGATTAAATTCTAAAGATTTCTCATGAAAAAAAATGCTGGTCAATAGACATTTTGAATATGGAAAAGCTGTAAGAGCCAGATTGGTAATAACTGTTTAAGTTAGTTTTCCAGTGGACCTTGCAAAAATGTAAATAATCAAATTTTATTGTTCTTTGATGAGTGGCTGCAGGTCTCAAACTTGCTTGTCAGCTGAAATTTATTTTCCAAGTAGGGCAAAAGACCAAAAAAAGTGTTATTCTTTGCTGTAAACATTTGAACATTTTTAAGCATATTTGTAAAACTACAGAGCTAATTCAGTAATTTATTGAAATTATCATAAAAGTTCAGCAAATCATGCATTGCTTTCAGATTCTGATATATGCTAGATTTCCTGTTTTTACGAGTCAGCAGCTTTGTAACTATAACCATTTGAATTTCAAATGATAAATTTATATCTAGCACAGCCCTAGAATGCATAAAAAATAAGAGGGCACCCTTTAGAGAAATTTAAAAAGAATTGTGCATTTCATAATTTGATATATGTAACATAATCCATTATACTCCAGGGCTTATATTGTGCCAGGAAATGTAAAAGTAAATGGAGACTCTTGTCTGTGCCCAGCACAAGGTGCAACAATGGAGATGTTTCCTCGAGTTATGAACCACTGGCTCCCTGGTATGTAACGCTGTCTAGCTCTATGTGAAGGGGTGCGTATGTAACACACTGAAGGGCTCTGTGGGCTTAATTACTATGCTAGAGTTTGGCAGAATGAGAAAGAAGAGATGCCAAGCAAAGTGAGAAAAAGAACTCTGTAGCCATCTCCACAGGGCTAGAGAATTCATGGAAATATTTATTCCACAGCCCAGGCATAAAGCTGTATTTTCTGTTCTTTGGAATTCCTTCTTTCCAATTTTTTTTTTCCCCTCAAACCCATTACCTACTCATATACACTCTTCCTAAAAATAATTACTATATACGTTCAATTCAAAGGAATTTCCTTTGAATTTTCCCTGCTGAGGTCGAATAATAAAGGTTTAAACTGATACTGTTAACGTGATTGCTTTTCAGCTCTGCTAAGAACTGCAGTTCGTGACAGCAGAGGCTAATTCTCATTATCGTCATATCTCAAGGACTTTTCCAATCACTCGGAAAATAGCAAGGGTTAATAAACCCAGGACAGTTGTTTATGAGAATTTGAATCCCAGTTACCTATAAACTCTGTGTGTGGTCATTAACCTAAACCCCCTTTGTTTCCATATCCTTGTGTGTAAGAAATATGTTTAAAATGAGATGTTGTGAGGATTAGAAAAAAATATGATGATGCAAGCACCTGGTACTTTGATCAAAGGTAAGTGCTCATACAGGTTGTTGCCCATTTCCATTCCCTGCCTCTTTTTTCACTTCTCACAAAAGCTATTGTTGTAATTATTGTGCTGTTTTTAAGACTCTAGCTGCACATCACAATAAACCAAAATTTCATGCCTTGAGAGTTTGGACTTTTAATTTTAGGTCATTAGTTCATGAAGGGATCTTGGATTGAGTTACAGAATCCCTAATTCTTTTATACATAATGAATGTGAAGCCCAGATGGATGAAGAAATCTAAGGATACACATATGTCCCATGTAACTTTATGAAGTCATGTGTATATGAGAAAGGCATGCATATTGTGAATGCATTTGTATAAATTTCCTACATTTACAAAACTTTGCAATAATTTTGTTATGTATATATAAAGAGCAGCCCTTTGTCAACTCATATTCTATATTTCATTATTAATTAATAAATCACATGAAACATTCTACATAACTAATCTGTGTTTTAATGCCAAAGACTGCAGTCAAACAAGTTAGATAACACTTACAAAATGCTTAGCAATTAATTGGCATCTAATAGTGAATTGCTACATTGAGTCTTTGCTTTTCTTCTTTCCTTGTTAAAAAGCAGCAAAATGAACAAAAAATATACATTCTAAGAAAACACACAAAAAAATCTTCAGAAATGGCTGCACCTATAACTAAACTGAATTGCAAAGCTAGGGTAGACCCTGACATTTTGTCTGTGCAGGCACCAGTAATTTAGAATCTATGTGAGGTTGAAGCACCACGCAGTCTGTTCAGGGTTAAGGCAGCCTGTGTGAGAAGGCATATGTCTCTCTACTTCTGTTTTGTTGTGGTGGTTGCTTTACTCTATTTTTCTTCTGCTGGAAACCACTCATCCCTCCATAAAATTAAAAAGAAACACACCAAGCATAATCATTAACATGGAAAGGAATATTTTCCTAAATTCTGGAGAATTGAGTGAGGAGGAGAGAATCACAGTGTCTACAGATGCTGGAGAGAAAGAAGTGTTTCCACCTCAGTGCAAGCACAAAGTTGATGAAGATAAATTGTTGAAGAGTAGCCAAATATAGACAGGTTGCTGTGATGGCATTCAAATCTAAGTACTCACCATTTGCCACCCCCAGAATGTGCCAAAAATTTCATCTCCTCCTCCACAAAGTTTTTTTTTCCCCCCCATATGCAGCTTAGGTTGCATAAGGTGAGATGATCAGCATTTGAAACTATCAACAACTTTAAAAAATGCAACCAAAAGACACTAGGTTTACCTGGGAGGAGTCTTGCTTCACAGTTTGGAAGCGTAAATAGGTCTAGCTGATTTAGATTAGCTGATATATCCCCCTAAAAAAAAAAGCCTGTGATACCAATGTGCTCATGCCTTTAGGCAAACACACTAAGCACATTTGGGAATCTGCTGCCAGGGCCTCCCCATCTGCTGTGGCAGTCACTGGCTAGCCTGAAGAGCCCACTGCCTCTTGGGCATCTCATGGGGCTGTCTGCTGGAGACCTTCATTCCAGAACTGTCAGCTGGTGAGGCACTCTGCGGCCACCTTTGACCTCTGTCCCTAATCCCCTCTGACACATTCCAGGCTGTCGCACCAGATCATCCTCTCCGGTTCATTGCACAGTATTCAAGCCAACAATCGGCATGTCTTCTTTCCCATCTGTGTGTTCTAGTTTAGGCCGGGTCAGGAGAGATGTCACTGTTTCTCTTCCTCACTCCTGACAGCTTTCTGATTTTCAGCATTTAACTTTTTAAAAACTAACTTGCAAAGACCTGAAGTTAAGTGACAAACATATTAGGAAATTCAGCATTGCGAGAATATTTGTGTGTGTTTATTGGTTTAGAAGGACACTGGAATACCCTTTTAAACACAACCTCCCTCTATTTCATCTACCCGCCTTTTCCACCTTCCTGAGCATTACAAATTGTTGTTGCTATTATCATTATCTATTCTTCAAGGCTCATTTCCAATGCCAACTGCTTTGAAAAGCTTTCCCCAATTGCCCCATAGCAAGTGAAGATCAATCACTCCTATGTCATCGCAAAACATTTTAGCTCTGTATATCTCCTTTATGTCATTCTTGAAAATAAATACAAGGATTTACTGCTCACAGTAATCTATATTTTAGATACGTCATCTCATACTGGTTGTGTATTAGTAAACAAATAGTCTGACTGAATTCTTAGGTGAAGGGACTCATATGATAATACATAGTTAAGACAGATGAGTGTAAGGAAATAAAGCAGCTATAAAAAGAGAATAATTAGAGAAAACAATCAAGAAAAGTTACATGAATGGAGGGCAGTAATTACAAGCACAAAGAAGCCCAAGTTTCAATCCCCTTTCCAATAGTTACTAAATACTGAATCTTGAGCAGAGTGTTCAGTATATTTGGGCCCCATCTATACTCATCATCAAAATAGAAATAAGAGTATGACCATTTTGCACCAGCATGCCCATTGTGGGGATTAATTGCCATAATTAAATGAGATCACGAGTGTCACGCATTTAGCACCACAGATAAGACTTAAATGGTGTGTGCTTCACCCATGCTGGGCAAAGAGAATCACACCAAAATACAAGTTGAAATGAAGACTATCAATAATTTTCGTGCAAAATAGACAGCCGTAGGCACATTGACGAAATCAATACCACTGCCACCCGCAAGTCCAAAATGGATAAAATTAAGTAGCCAAATAATTAATAGTAATGAAATAACCTTCCCTTTCAAACTTCAGTGGCTCCATCTTTTATGTTATTACCCTGAACGAAAGACCTCAGTTCCATACCACAGGAGTGTATGTGTATGTGTGTGTGTGTGTGTGTGTGTGTGTGTGTGTGTGTGTGTGCGTGCTCATGTGCAGTGGTAAGGGGGTAGTAAAAATGGGGAGGTGGTGGAATGTGCTCTACATGGTGCTGTTATAAATGTAGCATGAAGAGATTTTCTACCATTTTATTAGCTTTTTTTCTTATAATTTGGAATTATTTGCCTGATAAACACCTACGTTTTCTTTCAAGCCTATTTTCAGATGAAGAAGAAGCTGGTGAAATTGTAATATTTTGTTGGCAGAAAAGAAGGTAGTCCTCAAAGCCACTCAGCTTCCCAGAGCAAATTGGATACACAATGTTAGGACTTGGAGGGGAGAAAAAATTCTGACTTTATTATGATCCAGGTTTTTTTCTCAGATGTGGTGGCCAAGGAAATATGGGTCAAGTATCTGGTCTATTTTTTCAAGAAATTCTGACAAATACGTTTATTTCTTTTTGCCAAATGATGATCTCAGCAGTGAAGAAAAGTGGAATTCCCTTTCTTCTTTCTTTTTTATTCTATTCAATGTGATTCAATGAAGCGATTTTAAACCTATCTGTATTCAACCCAATTTTTGTAATAAAACCTAATAGTACAAGGGGAAATATGTTTATGAGAAGCATTTTGTGAGTTTAAAGGCTGAATAACCCACAACATTAAAAAGGAGAAAGTGGGGCTTAAGAGGCCAACTCTGGCATCAAACAAATGGGCATCCTTTGTATCTAGTTGTCACTTCTGACCAAGTCATCCAAAGTCTTGGTATCACAGTATTCGTACCTGTAAATAGGGACTAGTAATACCACGTAAAGTTGGTCTGAGGTTTTGGTGATATAATATAGTATGATATCTGGTTCTGAGGCAGAACTAAACATGTTTTAATATCTTGAATTTTTTTTATCTTGATGCTTCCTACCAGAATCAGTGCCAAACACCCATTTTGTTGGTAAGCTGAGGCCCAGAAATAGTAAGAAGAGTAAGAAAGAGTGTCAAACAATGAGTCAGAAAACCTAGCATTCCAACAGAGGAAAACAGGTTGGTATCATCTGTTGCATATTACAAAGAAGTGGAACTGGACAGTGATTTTAAGGCAGAAAACTACATAATATCTGGAGACATTTTCTAGGAAAGGTAAACAGTTGGTAAAACAGACTGAAATGACAGTTTGGTATCATGAAGATGAAGACTAGTATGGTTAAAACTTTGAGATGGAGAACAACATTGACTACAGCAAAAAAGCCACAGTTTTAAAAGCAGCTACAGTGAGAATAACCACCTGATAAGTTTTAGGGTCATCTACTGTTAGTTTGTGAGATCCATCTGTGTTCTACACAGGCCAAATAGGCATGATGAATAGACATGGCAGGAGTCTTCAAGTTTTCTTTCTTTTTTTTTCTTTTTGTGTGTGTGGGGCTCTAATCTCTGCAATCCTTCCAGAAATTCATGTTTGCTTTTGCTTTAAGATGGAGAAAAGATAGTTCTAGAGACTTCAACTTGCCCTTTCCTACTATAATGTCTTGCATTTCAGAGACATCAATGTGGAGAATTAGCCAGTTCCATTTCAACTATGCATTTCAGAACTGAGGAAACCCCAAGTTTTTTCATATATATATAGGCAAAATTATGCAATTATTTTGATAGGCATGCTGCTGTCCCATGAGTCATACTTTGTGTACAAACCCTTAGGGCCTGATAGAAGTTGAGCCTATTTATATGTTTGGAAGCGAGGAGAGGTGGTAAGCACTGATTTTGAGGAGGAGCCAGGGTACCCTGCAGGAAAACTACCTTATTTCTTTAGAAAATGGTGTACTAAATTTCTTAGACAGGGGAACACTAACCAAAACTTTGGGGGCAAAGTCCCCAAAATTTTAAAGAAAAGTTTCTTTAAAATTTTACATCATTCCCCATCCCAGTGTTGAAGGTATCAGACTGTAACAATCAATGCCATAACCTTAACATGAGACTCCATAATATTGTAATTTTAATTTATCTTGTAAATTTGGTCCTCAAAGATTACAATTTGGGTTTAATTTCCTGGAATTATAAACCATTTGCTATAGAAGATAAGAAATGCATTTAGGGCAAACACAGAAAAAATTTTTTCCTTATTTAGATATTGACCTGGCAATTTAAAACCCTGAGCTCATCATTTTCTTCTTTCAAGTTTCATAAGCACACATAGAGAAAATCAACCAACCCTATTATACTATTTATTTCCACTAAAATATGCTATTGGCATTCAAATGCAGGTGACTACAGATGGCAATTTAAGTACCTGTTTTTCCACACATTCTATGTAACACCAGTTTCCAATATTCTATTGGCTTCAGGTTAATCAATACCTTTATATTTAGTCAGATTAGAGAAACAACTTAAAATAAATTTTCACTTCTCTAGTCTGAACTATTTCTAGGAGCAGAGTCACTATGAGTATTATGGAATATGTTTTATTATCACAAAAATAAAATATTTTACAACTGGGAAAAGAACTGGAGAAGTGAAAGTTCAAAAAGGGAATTAGAGGATCAGAGAGATAGTCATTGGCTATGTTCAGTTTCTGAGGTGGGACAGCAAAAGGAAAGCTTGTTGGTAGATCTATGGGAATTTTTTGGTTCTGCATAACTACTACTGTGAGTCTACAGACAAGCACACAGTGGTTGTCCTGAAGCCTGTTCTGCAACAGGATCATCAGTCAGGAAAAAGTCAGAAGAAAGGAGAGCAAGAATAATCTGGAGCTTTTTGGCCACCTCTAGATCTGTCCATCATTGCATCTGACTATAACGAATTTCAGAAAATAACGGCCTCTGTTTCATTTTAGCATTCAAAATGGTATGTACCTTTCTAAAATAAAAGGAACCAGAGATTCTTAGAAAAATGACTGAATCTAGAATGAGAACTGGAAAGATACAAGCAAGACAAACCTACAACATCTTGGACTACTAGAAAGCAAAGAGGTGATGAATTAACAAAAAAACAACAGCAAAAGAAAGATGGGACCTTGTCAAAAGGAGAGAGAAACCAAACAAAAGAGTTTGAATTCTGGGACAAAATATTGAATTTTAACCCAAAAAATAAAGTAAATATTCATGAGTCCATGCTGATACAAATAAATGATTGAACAAATAAATAAATTAGTGAGAAAGAAAAAGTCTTTTTTACAGAAAAATTCCAAATAATATATGTAGATTCTTCCTGTTCTGTTAAGCAGAGCTTAGTTTACTTCCTCTTGAGTGTGGGTTGGGATCAGTGACTCTCACACAAAGAATAGAGTATGAAAAGAGAAAAAAAAATTTTTTAGTGTAAAAAGCTTTCAAACGCCATTTTAAACAAGTGACATAGTTTCAAAATATCAATAATAAGTCATATGGATAGCATATACCCCTTGCTATGATATAATAAAAGGGCACCTTGCCTCTATGTTTTTCCCCGCAAAAAAACTATAACCCAAGTCAAATAATAAGAAAACATCAACTCAGTTTGGGGGATATTCTACAAAACACCTGACTACTACTCCACAAAACTATTAAGTTCATAAAAAACAAGAAAAATTGAGAAACTGTTACAGATCAGAGGAGTCTAAGGAGATATGCCCACTAAATGTGATATGTAATATGGTATCTTGGATGGGAAATTGGAACAGGAAAACAAACAGACCCCCTCTCCATAGGTTACTTAATGATACTCTACCAAACAGTTAATAATATTGTACCAAATATTCATTCTTAGATTTGACATATGTACCATGCCTTTATAAGATGATAACACTAGGAAAAGCCAGCTGAGAGGCATATGGTGACCCTCTATAGTATCTTTGTAGCTTTTCTACAATTCTAAAATTAATCTAAAAAAAAGTTTTAAAAAATGAGAAAATTATTTTTTATAAGTTTCTGTTTTTCCCAGTCTTAATCTGAAACCACATAGGGAAGGTGATTCTGAGTTGACAGTTCTAGTTAGCCAAGTTGACAAAGAATGAAGACCACAATCATACAACCAAAGGTAGAGAAATTTAAATTTAAACTTCCTTTACTGTCTTATGTAGTTTAGCTACTCAAAGACCTCATTGTGTCACTTTGGAATAATACCAAGTTCCAAGTAACTTTATCCCCAATATGCTGTATGAACATGATGTTATTTATTCTGTCTTTGTTATAGTCTTATTTTCAAGAGTGAAGCTCTGAGTCAATCAAATTTTTTATTCTTTCAACCAGTATTTACATTGTTCACAATTTAAATATGAACTAAAAAGGAAACAATTGTCTTAAGGATTCTTAATTACAGATGTTGGAAAAAATATGGAAAATATACATGTGGAACTGATACAAAAGTCCTGTTTTTGAGGAAAAAATAGAAATGAAACAATTTCTGGGGATCCTTGAGAAAAAGGGAAATTAATTATCAATCTAAAGTTTGTTTACATTTTAATAAAAATACATTGAGAATTAAGAGATGCTCAATATCCACATATTTTCTTCTATGTTGCTAGTTAGGAAGGCCATTCCTAAACATGTGGTTTTAACTTGTTATTTATTTTGAAAAAATTATAAGGAAATTGTTACTAAAGAAAAGTTAAAGGAATAGTACAATGACTATCTTTACACCCTTCACCTAGTCATGCCAATTAAAATTTTACTATATTGTCATTGTATCCCTATTTTGTCTTTCTGTCCACATTTGTTCATTACTATATCCCCAGCAAATAAAGTAACAGTGGCTGGCACATGGCTTATTTAATGAAAAACATAAAATAATGCTCTGTCAACAATGGCATTTTTGCCACGCTAGAAGGTTCTGATTTACCACAATAACCGCAATTTGTACATTTTTCGAAGTTTATGTTGAACAATATAATATAATACATGGTTAGAAATGGGTCTGGTTCTTTGCTTAATTTTTTTCTTGGATCTTGATATAGTCCCTCATACATATTAATGATAATTTATGTATTCCTTGAATGAAGTTTACTGTGCATTCTATCACCCATCTACTTTTAGAGATTTTCATTACATACTCTCTCCAATTCAACAGAGTTTAAATTTAACCAAATTACCTCAAATATCATCCGAGATTATTAAAGAGGAATCATATGCATATTTTTATTTATACTCATGTTCATATTTATTTGCTACACTATTTGAGAGTAAATTTTAGGCATTCATTATTTCTCAAGTGAAATAAATTGTAATTGTAATTTCATTGAAAACCAGGGCTAGATGAAACTTTATAGGAAATAAATTGTTTTTGGTTCAAATAATGTTCATAGCATCACAAGTAAATATCATCCAACTTCCATTTAAATACCCTCCAGATATGTGAAACTCACTAAGGCTTGATTAATCTCTCACTTCATCTGCCTGTGATTCTACATGTTATAATTATTTAGAAACAACTTCATATTTATGTCTTGCTTTTGTTTCCCATTGTTAACTCTGCAATATAATTACAAATTATTGGTATATTTCCATCCATGTGTTTTTCTACATCTTCAGAAAATGGTGGGCCTTTTTGTTCTTGTCTCTATTGCCTAAGTTCTAAGTAGAATTAATTCATTTTTCTGTTTAAACTGTTATATACAGACAACATGTTTATTGTACTTATGCCAAGGTAGACTCTCCATAGTGCCATCTGAGTTCTCATTGGTACTTGCTCTACTGTCTTGGGATAAAGAGAAAAGCAAAAACAGACAAACTTAAGTTTCTTAACTAAGACAATCTTTCAGATGTTTGGAAACAACTGTTTCCCCATTTATGTTCTCTTTTCATCTAATTACTACAAAAATTCATTTTCTAACACTTGACTTAATCTCCGTAACATCTTGGATGTATTTTTTTAAGCCTTCAAGACCATCCTGCTGCTATCCACCCATATCATCCAAAGATGATAATCAAAACACTGAGATAAAACAAAACAAACTAAACTAAACCTTACATTTTTATAGACCTTGTCATTTTTTTCCCTAGAGGATTAATCACCTCTACTTTACAGAATGGGAGACATATTAATAAGATATTAGATGTTTTAAAATATTAGACAATACTCTAGAAACATCCATGAAGTTAAATATTGGTTTGCGAAGTATCTGTCCATTCCCTGGAAATGATCTTAGTGATCACACATTCCAATTCTCCATCTTAACAAGAAAGATTCCGAGATCTATCCTAAAAAGATGATATAAACTTCCAGAGTTGAAAATGTAGCAATGCACAAAAAATAAATCCTTGACTTGTAGAATTCCTTTTTAAACAATCTCAGATGATTTTGAAGTAATTGGTTGAATTTGAAGCCTTTTGAATTGGAGAGAGTATGTAATGAAAATATCAAAAAGTAGTTGAGTAATAGAATGCACAATAAACTCGATTCAAGGAATACATAAATTATCATTAATGAGCAGGAGGGACTATGTCGAGATTCAAGAAAAAAAAATAAGCAAAGAGCCAGACCCATTTCTAACCATGTATTACATTATACTGCTCAACATGAACTTTGAAAAATGTAGAAATTGGGATTATTGTGACCAATTGGAACCTTCTAGTGTGGCATATAGATGCTATCGTTCACAGATCGTTCTTTTTTTTTCATTAAATAAGCCATGTCCGGGCATCATTACTTTTTGTGCTAGGGATATAATAATGCACAAACATGAATTCCTGGTCTTGTGGACTTTATAGTCCAGTGAGGGGTGGCACACAAGTGACAAATAAACATGCCAAATTTGTAGTATGTGCTATGATCAGAGAAAAATAAAGGAAGTTAGAGGGATGGGAATGGTAGAAATGAGACCCTTCTTTTTTGGACTCCCTCTCGTTGATAAGGTAATATTTGAGTAGAGATAGGAAGTAACTGAGGGAATAAGAAAAAACAGCATCAATGAAAGTCCTGATGCTGGAACTTGCCTACGATGGTCCAGGAACAGTGACCACACGAGCACCAGTAGTAGATAAAATAAA
This sequence comes from Homo sapiens, assembly GCF_000001405.40. Classification (NCBI taxonomy): domain Eukaryota; kingdom Metazoa; phylum Chordata; class Mammalia; order Primates; family Hominidae; genus Homo; species Homo sapiens. Next base: position 61,405,007 of record NC_000016.10, on the reverse strand, counting down.
AGGGAGAGTTGGTAGGACATGAGCTCAAACGTGTGATGGATCTGAAGTTGCAGAGAATGTTAGCAGTGGCCACCTCATGAAGAGCCTTAAAAATTAAAGCACTTGCTCTTAATGATATGGAAGGTCATTGAGGAGTTTTGAATAGAGGAATGATGTTTGATTTACATCAATATCATCATGACTGCTTTGTAGGGATAGTCGGTATTTAGAAATGCTGCAATAATAAAGCATTCAACATTGTCTTGCTGTGTGACATGGAACAAATTAGCATGTCCACATTTCAGCAGCCATATCTGTAAAATGGAGATATTGACACTCTAAGAAAACTGACCAGAGTGTTGTAAAAACCTGCTTGCATAATGCATGTGATCTCATAGTTTAAACTATAGCTTAAATTTGGAAAAGAAGGCGAGGACAAAGGCCTAATTGAGCTGAAAAGGAAAACAGTCACATAAAGGCTGTAACCTCCACTGGAAGCCTCTGTGTATTTTTAGTTCTTAAAATTACCATTATTTTGGGGGAAAAACTCATAAGTAAATGGATATCTAGTTAGGGCAACACTTCCAAGCTAGTCTCAAGTGTTTATACATTTAATATTTATTTAACAAGCCATCTATAGCCAGTTAATTAGATAGCATGCTTAATATCTCATTTTCCTTAGTTGTATGGGTAAATGCTAATTAAATTCCTGAGCATTTCTCACAAGTGTAATGTAATAATAAGAACATCGTCACACACTTATTGGTTCTGCAGATTTGAATTAATTACATTGCAAGTAGATTTATCTTTCATATATTTATACCTCAATAGGTGCTCTTCCCTGACAATCATAGGGGATTTAATTTCCATACCATCACCTTATTAATTCTAAATTAAGTATGTTTAGTAGGAGTTTAATACTTGTTGAAGCTCCAGTTAGTGATATTTCTTCTACGCATCTTGATTTTGAATTTTAGTGCCTGAAATTCATGTTGCCTTATGCTGCTAAGAAAAGAATAGGGACAATTAATAAGGCAATAAGAAAGACTACAAAATTTAATTTGGAGACAAGCCAAGGAGTCTGGTACTAAGCAGTGCTTCTTCAGAATCTTGGGGGGCATAGCTGGCCATTTGGTCAACCACTTTTTTTCTTCTTACCTCTGGCTGTGAGATAAGTCTTTTTAAAAAAAATACTGTATATATGTTATATATATATATATATATATTCACTCTCACACTTTTTCTCTATTCCCACTGATGTCTCTGCCTTCATTCCAAGCCCCATCATCTCTCCCCTGAGCCGTTTTAATAGCCTTTTTCTTGTATATCACATATCAAGTCTAGTCTTCTTCTGTCCATTTCCCATACAGCCACTAGAATGATCTTCCACGTATGGAATCATGAACTTGTCACTCTTCCCCTGGAATGCCTTATCCCCAGAATATTTTCCAAATGCTTTACCAATGAATGTTACATCTTGCTTAAAACTGCAATCTCATTCTTCATTTTTGTTCCCATCACTTTCAAAACATAACTCTTATGTTATAACTTATCCACCAATGCTTCCGTGTGTCTGCTTAGACGTCCCCTCCCTATCCAGGCTAATACTAACCCATGTCTCAAAACTCAGATGTATGTTGATTGAATGAAGAAAAGACATTTGTGTTGACCTTGAATTACCTAATGCCAACTCTATGTGCAATGCCAAGTCTATCTGTGTGGATTTTTTTTTGTTTGTTTTTTTGTTTGTTTGTTTTTTAATGTGTTCTGTTTCCCTGTTGCCTAACTGGTCACTCCCCTTAAACTCAGAAATTGCCATATGAAAGTGTAATACATTTATTTAATAATAATTTATTAAGTACCTATGGATTGCTATGAAATATGCATGCCAGGTGCTGGAGAAAACATGCGTCATGTTTTAGAAACGAAACAATGTCCACCTCCACATCCAAGAATGATGATAAGGTTAATTCCATACAGACCACAGGGTAGTGGCCAAGAGTAAAGACTCTGGAATCTTACTCCTGAAAAGAAGCTTTAATTCTTCATCAGAAGTGAAAGCAAAGGAGCACTTAGGGGCACTGTGAGGAACAAGTAAAACAATTCAGGTGAAGCACCTGGATGATCTGTTTACACAAGCTATTTTGAAAGTGCCAGACTCAATCATCTGATGAGTTTAGAAAGTATTATATTTTAATTAATTTAAGTAGGTGCACATGTCAATATTCATATATATTAGTTTTTATTATGATGAACACTTTGCTAATATTGTAGATACAGAAACAAAGGCTCAATGACTTCTTCCAAAGCGAATAGTGTGTAACAAAGATAAAATGCATGTCCTTTTATTTATTTATCAATAAATAATAAATGCATAGGATAAGTAAAGAAATAAAAATACGAATAATTGAGAGCCTGCAGTTTCATTAATAAATCATATATTTTTCCCAGGTTGACAAAACATTTATTTTTCATTTGACAATATTGATGATTCTCATATTCCGAAAATTTTGGAGAAAATTACGGTTAGATATTTCAAAAAGAATAACTGCAAAACAAATGATAATTTTTTACAAGCATGTATATAAATGTGGCTAATTTATGAATTTTTGCAAAAATTCAGAGAATCAGAGGAGCGAAGAGCCAGGAGAGAGAAAAGAGGTAAGATTTGTTTTAGATAAGTTTTCTCAATACTGTATCTAGCCCTTTGTAATCTTAAAATAACTTTCTCAAGGATTAATATGTTTAACACTAAGACTTGGTAGGAAAAGTAAGGTCTTGGACTGCAATGAATAAGGAAACAGAAATAGACAGTGGGGAAGCAACTCACCAAAAGTCACAGACATAGTGGCAGAACTGGAGCTACAACTGTATTTCTTTTATTTAAAATGGGGCTCTTTCCCTTTCACCATTGCTGGGCCTTTCCTCCCTCTTCCCTCCCAAGCTTTTTGGAAAGTGTCTATTTTGGCCATCTGCTGAGTTTGAGAAACATTTCGTTTCCACAAATTTAAATAGTTTAAGTAGTAAGACTCTGTTGTCTTAGCTTTTATTAAAGAAATTATTCAGAATTTAACAAAAACAACAAGAAAACCCCATTTATACTTTAAAAAGTAGGCAACAGGTGCTTTATTGTCCATTACACAAGGACTCTTTGTGTGCTCGGCTGACAAATTTGTCATTGGGAGAGGCAATTCTGGCATTGGTGTGTGGAATTACAGTGTTTAACTTGTGCCTCCATAACTTAAAGTCTCTTTAAGATCAGCAAGAGTCCTCTTCTCGTGGATGCTCTGTTTCTTTCAATTATTGCAGAGCTTCAGTCTCTTCTCATTTTAGCCTTTCTCCGATGTCTTATTTAGCCTCCTGGATTCGGGCTTATATTTGTATTCTCTCTCTCCAACACCCATTTTTTGGTTCATTCGGCCATTCCCCACCTCTAAATCGTAGCTGGCTCACAGTATTTCCTATGAGCCTATCCTTACCTCCTCTCCGCTGCAGCTTCTGCTTTCTCTAAATTCCCTGTCCCTCCTAGTCAATCTTTATTCCTGTACTTCTTTGATGAGGCAAGATGTATCCGTGTGGGATATGTTAATTGCTTAGGATATTGAGAATGGGGTGGAGTGGGAGGAATATGTTTTTTGGCCTTGTCAGTCCTGTGATTATAATCAATGGAATGTTGGAGATAACAGTCACATCCTCGATGTTGTAATCCATTTAGACCTTCTTTTCTTCTTCTTCATATATCCCATACTCCAAGTAATCTGAATTCGCATCTGTGTTTTCAGTCAGTGGTTCTCAATCTTTAATGTGCATCAGAATCACCTGGTGGGTTTGCTAAAACACAGATTGCTGGGCCCTACCCCCAGATCTTCTCCTTCAGTACACGTGGGTGGGACCTCAGACTTTGTATTTCTAACAAATTTCCCAAAGATGCTGATGCTGCTAGTCCAGAGGACCGCACTTTGAGAACCACTGTTTTGACCTCTATTGCCTCTGCGACTTATGCTGACCATCTGAAATACCTTTGAATTCCATCTGAACACTTTCAAACAAACACATCGACTGACACACATTAAAATGCTTTCTTCACTCATCTATTTTTGAGATCTTACTCTGTACCAGACACTGAGTTTCGTCTATGGCCTCAGGGAGAATAGATTACCAACCAAGCCATTCTTAAATCCCTTCAGCTAGAAAGGATTGACATCTTTCTCATAACATGATGACCGTCCCGTTACCTCGCAACTCAACGAGTTGTCCTTGTATCAGAAAGATTGGCATCGCCTTGAACTTGATAGAAATTCAGTCTCAGACCCCAACTTAGACCTACAAAAGCAGAATCTGCATTTTATCAGTATCCTAGTTGATTCATATGCAGATTAGAATTTGAGAAGTATTACTTTCCTATACTATCAACTTCTTCGGGTACAAATCTAACTATGAATCTCCAAAAATGCTTATCAAGTGTCTGGCCTATGATGGAAGGGGAAGGAGTAAAGGAGCAGGCAAACAATCACTGTCATTTTGTCCAGAATTACTTAGTGTATGCAAAGCTTTATTTAACACAGTGCTTGATGCAAGCTCATTTAATCCTCGCAACAGAAAATAACTAATGACTACTTGTTATTTCAAATTAAATTGATTTCTCTTGAGTTTGTCACGGGATAAAAGCAAACTGCAAGCAAACTATCAAAATTGCAGAGAAGGCAAAAAATATCTAAAATCCTTATGCAGAAGACATGGTTTTGAAACTCATACTTGATTCTCTTAAGAAGCATAGTGATTATGCATAATAATGGCCATTATAAATTTAGCAGTGTGTTAAACAGGTATTTTATTTGATAGGCATTTATTGTTAGTGTATGGAGAGCAATGTTATTATTTGTGCTACTTGTTTAATAATCAAAGTGAAATGACAAACTCAAGATCTTGCTCAAGGTTGGAAAGCTAAATGATAAAATGGACAAAATCTGAATGCATCAAAGGAAATTGATGATTGAGCTTGGCAGATCAATAGTTGGTGTTCAGAAACTCTCAAAAATGTATGGCAAAAAGTAATATCTTTTCATCACTCATAGTGAGGTCTCATCTGACATCCCTGTAACAAAAGACAGATTAGCAAGAGAAAAGCATAGAAAATAATTTAACAATGTTTTATATGATGCAGGAGCTTTCAGAGACAAAGACCTGAAGACCCAGAGAAAAATGTGTTTTTATGCTAATTATGAAGAAAGAAGTGAATAATTGTGGAGAAACATGATTGGACAAAAAGGATATGATCCCATGGTAATAAACTAGGGAGAACTTAGCAAGGACTGCTTTTTTTCAGATTCTTCTTGGCTTCTTTGTGCATTCCTTTCCTCCAGGCATAGGTAAAAACACCTGAAGTTCTTCAAAGGTGAAGGGAAAAGGTCAGAGAGTGACCTTTCTATGATTTATGGCTTGCATTGGGAGAGGAATTCTAGTTTTTATGACCTACCTTGGTAGGAGGAATTCTGGTTTCTATGGCTAGATTTGGAGGAGAAAGAGCAGCAGGAGACAGAAAGGCAGGAGGAAGTCAGAGAAATCTTCTTGTTTCTGAGGCCCCCCTGTCTCCTTCAGCTCAAAATAATCTGCAGTAACAGTTCCTGAGATCCAAAATGAGCCATCTGATTTTTAATATTTTATGAGATAAACTTTTATACAAAACTTTGATTGTAGACTATATTCCAAAAAATTGTATTAGCCTTCTTGGGAATAACATTAATAAAACATATGTAAGTCATAACTGTGTCTTCAGTATCACCCAGCTCAATGGTTAGCAGTTCTAAATGGGAATGGGAGGCTGGTATTTGCACCGCCCCCCCAAGAGACATATGACGATGTCTGGAAACAGTTTTGGTTGTTACAACTGAGAGGGAAGTTGTACTGGCATTTAGTAGATAGAAACCAAGAATATTGCTAAAGTATCCTACAATGCACAGGACAACCTTCCCCAGCCACAATTATCTGGCCCATAATGTCAGTGGTTCTGAGTCTGAGATACTCTGATCTAATTTAAAACATTCTACAGCCGGGTATGATGCTTCACACCTGTAATCCCAGCACTTTGAGAGGCCAAGGCAGGTGGATCACCTGAGGTCAGGAGTTCAAGACCAACCTAGCCAACATGGTGAAATGCTGTCTCTACTAAAAACACAAAAATTAGCCGGCCATGGTGGTGCACAGCTGTAATCCCAGCTACTCGAGAAGCTGAGGCAGCAGAATCGCATGAACCCAGGAGGCAGAGGTTGCAGTGAGCCAAGATCACACCACTACACTCCAGCCTGGGTGACAGAGCAAGACTCCGTCTCAAAAAAAAAAAAAAATTCCACAGAATATAATATAAATTAAATTAAATAATTGGAGTCCAGAAATATGTTTCAGAAAAGAGTATGACATACAAATAAATTAATAGTTAAAGAGTTTGACTGATTTGATCGAAGACACACAGATAAGTTCTAGAGTCATCACTTGAGCCCACTTTCTAGCTTAACAACTTACATTTTATCCACGATGAAGCGCACACACACACACACACACACACACAACTTCTGACTGATAGTGATTTTTTTCATTGTGATATACCACTTCTCTTAAACAAAAAAGCAGGTGATTTCTGGAATCAGATGATCTGAGGGTTAATCTTGACTCAGCTACTTAGTAGTTTTGTGACTTTGGACAAATTATCTAACTTTTTCTCCCTCTCCTTGCCCTTCTCCTCTTTTCTTCTTTTTGCCATGGAATCATTATCTATTAAATGAAAATAATAATATTCAGTCCTGAGAACATCACTGCAAATCATACCATAGTTTCTGGCACAAAAAATAATGAACATTTACTGAGCGCTTACCTTATGCCATTTAATGTGGCCTGTGTATTGAACACGCCTTATTCCTGGCCCACATCCTCTCAGTGAGCCTTTTAATTCCAGTCTTGGCTACAGCCAGCTGCATGTAGCAGCCTGAAAGTGCAAAAGATTTAAACAACCATTGGACAGCCTTTGAATTATAGGGAGTAGCAGCTAGTGGGTAAAATTATTAGTCAGTCTCTTGAGCAGAGAGTTGGAAGCATATTCTGCTCAGATCCAAAGAGTTTCAACCTCAGAATTGAGCCCTATTTTCCCATAGTGCGGACCAACTTAATAAAACATCTTTGGATTAGATTTTTCTCCTTTGTTATCTCATTCTTTTCCTCCCCTGTTGTTCCTTGGAACCACTTCTCAAATAAAATCCATCTGTACAAAGACCATTACCTCAAGAATACTTTGTGGAAAATTAAACAAACACTAAAAGAAATCAAGAAAACAAAGCTTTACCATTGTCTTTTCACCATATTAGAATTCAGCTCAGTGAAGTGTCTTCAACAACCAACTACCAGAAAAACGCTGTGACATTGCTGATGTCAATGGTACGATGCCTCATGCTTATATTATGAGGTCTTTTATGCTTTCCTAATTAAAGAAAACTGAGAAACTCAAGGTATGGGTACTGGTGAAAGCCCCTATGTTAAGTGTCACACAAAACTGAAAACACATGTGCACACACACACACACAACTAGTAAGCCAGTTGCTAAAAAAAAAGGAAAAAAAATTCCAATGTTTCAGTACCATCCATGTAATTATTTGTGTATTTCCTATTTTACATTATGATTAGAGTGCACTATTTGTCCATATGCTGAAAGGCTGGCATTAAAAATATAAGTTTCTTTTTGAGTAGATTGAAATGTAGTATCTTTTTTTTTTTTTCTATTGAGATGGGAGTCTCCCTCTGTCCCCAAAACTGGAGTGCAGTGGTGCGATCTTGGCTCACTGCAAGCTCCGCTTCCCGGGTTCAGGCCATTCCCCTGCCTCAGCCTTTCGAGTAGCTGGGACTACAGGCGCCCGCGACCACGCCCGGCTAGTTTCTTGTATTTTTAGTAGAGACGGGGTTTCACCGTGTTAGCCAGGATGGTCTTCATCTCCTGACCTCGTGATCCGCCGTTCTCGGCCTCCCAAAGTGCTGGGATTACAGACGTGAGCCACCATGCTCAGCCGAAATGTAGTATTAAGCCATGAAGGAACCATTAAGACATGAAGGAGTCATTAAGTTATTGGGCTAAAAAAGGACGAGCATATAGCATCATTAAGTCATGAAGGAAGCATTAAGACATGAAGAAACCCAGATTTAGTTTATGTTCACTAACTTTTGGGAAGTTCAGAGGTCACTGGGAACAATCTTCTGTTCAGATCCAGGAGTACATTCTGAAATCAGCATGGCCAGACCATCTATCCTATGCCTGGAAAGAGGTAGTCGTTCAATGTCAAATAAGATAAATTGTATTATGTATTATGCTTAGGTTATTGGGCTAAAAAAAAGACAAGAATGGGTTTCTCCCTAGATACAGAATATTGTAGAGAGAGTAAAAATACACAATGACAACAAAATTCATACCTACCTAGAAGCCAAAGTGTAGTTTTGAAAGTGTGATTTAAAATATTTTGGGAAATGATTTATTATTATAACACATCTTAGAAATTATAATAAAAATCAAGAAGCTTGGTTTAATTAGGAAACATTTTGAATTATGAACACAAAAGAGACATGTACCTAAAGCAAAACCCACATGGTTCTTCACTGATCATTAATAAGTATTTGGAAATTAAAATTCAGCTGTGTTCAAGCTTAATTGTTTTTGGAAGATACCTGACTTTTGCAGAATTGAAGAAAGAAACCTGTAAGATAAAGTTTAAAAGTTAATGAATGCCTAAATTGGAAGAAATCTTAGCATTTGTCTTGCCTATTTGTCTGATTTCACTTTACAGATAAGAAAATTAGTCTAACAAACAACAGAGTGATTTTCTTGAGGACGTTAACAGATGGGATCTAGAACCCAGGTCTTCAGAGTCCTACCTCAGTGTCCTTTCTGCTACAAATGCAGATAGATTGAATTAACTCAAGACTCTGAGTAGGTATTTTTTTCATCACCTTCCTCTTCTTCACCACCTCCACTCCATTATCACCTCTCCAACTCCCCATCCCAGCCTTTCTGGCTATTCCTGCTGCCTTCTACTGCTGTGTGAAACTCTTGCTTAAAGCCCAAGTACAAGTTCCCTTACGGGAAATTGCAGGACTGAATGTTTCAGATGCCTGGAGGATATATTTGGTTACTGATGCTCTGAGAAGCATGAGCTGTATTCTTTTGAAATGGACAGATGATGACAACAGCTTTTAGTGAAGTGGCGTTTTCTTCCCTGAGGGCTTAACTGCAGGAGGTATATGAAATATAAAAAGATTATTTCATTTTGTTTATTTATTTATTTAGTTTTTATACAATCTGTGGTCATCGCCTCCTCTCATCAAACTCTGACCCACAAATTCAATTAGAGAGCTTTCCTGGAAGTTTGCTCTTTCATGAGGTTCACCTGCAGGGTAAGAAAGAACATATGTTGGCCAGAAATCAAAGACAGTGCAAACATCCTCTGCTCAAATTACTTTGAGTCCATATTTCTATTAAATTTCCAGTAAAGTATGCTCAATAAATCATAGCATTTGAAATTAATTGTTTCAATGAGGCATTTAATTTTGCACAATCCATTGCTCTGGGTGTATATTAGCTAAATATTTATGAGTTGATTTCCAAAGCAGTCAAATTTGTTAAGGACGGAAGATAACTATCTTCCCATATGATTTGCCCAAGATTTTTTTTTCTAAGTGATTACTGAAATGTCAAAGTTGTAAAGAATGTTGGTATATTTTGAAATAAATAAAGTGAAATGAGTTAGATTTTCAATTAATGTCCCACGCTGTTTCATAAAGTGTAGTGTAAAATGTGTTTCAACCTATCTCGCACATCTATCCATCACGTTCCATATAACTTAATAACAAAGAGTGTCTTCCTGCAAACAAATTGTTCATTATAGAGACACAAGCCAACCAACCTAAACCCAAAGCAATAACCTCACTGAAAACTCTGATCAAGCAACCAGGTGTACCTACCATAAAGAATTTTAAAAAGGAGGAAAGGATATCATTGTGTCCAAATGTATCCTTTCCTAGTCAATGATTATTGGTTGATAAATAATAAAAAACATGAAGTTACATAAAAAAAGTTACTGATAAATCTCACGGCATAAACTTTTGGTAATTGCTTCATGAGATTATAGAAGCCGTAACTTTTTTTCTCATCTCTTCTCCTTTTTCTCATTGAAAATTCTTCAAACATAATCAAAGTGCTGTCTGTTCAATACTCAAATTTAAATTGCAAAATATTTATTTCATGTCTAGACTTGAATACACTATTGAGTTGATAGAAAGAGGAGGATGTTTTAAAAGGTAGGATGGACTAAGTTAGAGAAAATAAGTAGTATCCAGTGAGTTATAAATTAATGGCACAATCACCAGAATAAGATCGAAACCATCTCTCATATGCACAATTCAGACTATCAATTCATAAGAGTGAAACATAAAAATTTGTGTTTGAAAACAAAATTCAAAGAACTATAGCATTTAAGTTTCAGAATAAAAGACTTGACAAGAATTAGAAAGAGCTCCAATTTCTCCTTCCTCTTCTGAAGGGATGCCTAAGCACACTGACAAAACTGCTTGAAATATCTTACGTGTTTTAAAATTTAAAAAAATGAATGTGCACTTAGAAACTTTGTCTGAAGGCAGAGATATTTTAACTTTTGACTTTGGCACTTTTTATACCGATCCATGCACTGATAATGAGGGTTCCATTATCCTCATGCGAAAACTCAGAGTACCTCCTAAATTTCTCCTTCCTTTACCCAACCACATAAAAGAGATTATTATTTCATATTTAATTTACCACCTAAAACTATTTTCCATTTGTTCCCTCTTTATCCCACAGGCACTTCCCTAGTCCAGATCTCCATTATTTTCTCCTTTCAATGTTTTCACCTGGCCTTCTAAAATATCCTTCTAACTGATCTGCTCATAGCCAAATTCACTACCACTCCTCCATCTAGGCCACCAGGCAACCAGAGTAGGCTTTCTTAAATTAAATGCCAATAAGATCAGCTCAAAACCTTTCAGTGACTCCTCTTTGATAACAGAGTAAAACATGAGAAGTTTAACATGGCATCAAAGGCTTTCTGGAGCCTAAACTCTAGCCTACTTCTCCAGCCTCATTCCACATCATTTATCAGCCCCATCTAGGGACAAGGTAACAGAACTCCAGAAGTTTCTCAGCTGTTCCTTGTTCTCAAGGTTTCATGATTTCTCGCAGGGTAATTTTTCTGCCTTGAATTCTCTTGTTTGCCCTTTGAAGCCCTTCTCATCCTTTAGGATTCATTCCATGCATAATCCTTGTACACTGTAAAGTATTTTGTGACGTTGAACACACACATAATTCTCTCATTTTCTTTCTCTCTGATTTGCCCCTTTCTGTATCTATCTTTCTTGCTTTATTGTTATATCTACACAGACTTCTGTCTTTTACAAGTTGTGTAGACATGAGCAAGTCACTTAATTTAATCTGGCTACTTTAAGAATCATAGATTGTGCGTTAAAGCATCAAGTAAGACATCTGTAATATAGAGATATCATTTATTAGACAGTGTGGAATTCTGGTGAATTAAAAATTAGCCCTTATTATTAAATTCCTCTAGGTCTCCCTTGAAACTCATTTTACCTCCAAAATTATACAAGTGTTTAACTATTCATATCTCCTGAAAGAATTTAAAATTTAGGAAGGTTTTAGTTCTAATATTTCACGCATTATAAAAGAAACATGGCCTTCCTCCTGGCTACAGTTAAGCATATATTAAGTAGTGCTTAATCAAGTCATAGTACTTGACCCTTGTATATTATTCTGTTTTTTTAAAGAAAAGAGTAATATACCTTGTGTAAGTCTAATATCTGTGGTCACTAAAACTAAGCTATTTGTTTCACCGTATATGTGAGTTTAATTCATTCATTTTTTATTTATTCATCTATTCATCCATCATTCACTCATATATTTATCAAAATAAATTCATGTATTTCAGCAGGGTAAAATATTGAAATTAATATTTTGACTTCCAGACACATTTAAAAAGAACTAAAATGTCTGTATTCCTTGGCTATAAAATGAGCTAAGTCAACGTACTAATGACAGCACTGTGATGAAACAGATAATGCACATGAACTTCTTCTTATGCACATTAATTATTTGAAAATTAACATTTTCTCTTTGATTATGATTGAATTGTCTTTTGTTCCCAACTAGGGATCTAGATATATAAATATATTTGTGTGAGATTTATAATAAACACGATAATATTTTACTTTCAGTATGTGCTTGTTTATTAATTAAGAAAATGTTAATTTAATGACAACTACGGGCCAGACACCTGAATTGGAACTGAAGATTCAAAGTTGAGTAGTACATGATTATTTCTGTGAAGTGTCTCCCAGGATGCCTGGGGATGAAAACAGGTTGCCATACAGTTAGTTAATTGAATGCAGTGTGTTAAGTGCATGTGGTGGGTGTGTGGGTGGAACAGCAATAATCTCTTCTTGTCATGATCAGGGAAGTCATCCGCAAAGGGAACACGTTTGTCCTGGATCATAAGAACTGAGTCTTAAGTGTGTGAGAGTTTTCTAGACAGGCAACATATTCTAAAAAATGAGATTAGATATAAAAACGCCATAGAGTTTAGAAATGTTGTGGCCCATGCATGGTACTTGAAGAAAACATTATTTTTAAAACCTCAAACCACTTTAAGACATCATTTAAAATAATTTGAAATCATCCTGCATACTCTAGTTTGGCGGAAGAAAGAAAGCATAAGCCTGGAGTCAGACATAGCTACCTTTAGCGATGGCAGCATTTATAAATACTTGAGAAATTTTCATGACCTACATGAGTCACATTTTCCCTATCTGAGCCTCATTTATAAAAATCTGGCAAAAGGCTTTGTAGTGACACCTTACTTGCTTGGATTTCACCAGACTTAAATGAGGCAATCTACGGAAACCATTCATAAAGTGCAATGTCAAAACGGGTATTAAATAGATGTCATTCCCTTGTCTTCATTGCCTGCAAGCATTGTCAAGTGAAATTCATGGCTATATACCCATGAAAATGTATCCCCAGGAACTTTGCTTGAAAGTAGGTACTCTTATTTGTTACTTTTCTTTTTGTAATTTTTCTTGTTCATTTGTAGTTCATACCTTTTTACATCCTGGATTAGATTCACATTCAAGATCTCACATTCAGTTATGATCTTGGTCATTTCTGATGAGGAAATCACTAGGTTATCTTATGCTTCTGTAGACCAATAAGTCACCAACAATTTTAAGAGGAGAGTGGCTGTGAATGCAATTTCAGATGCTAATTTCTTCAGTGTTTAACAATATAAACCATGAATTTATAAACACTTAATAAAGTTAGACTTCTGGATAGAAATTGTAGCTTAGATATCCCCAGTGAAATCTTTTGAAACATCAGTTAGGGAAAAATTAGTTTTATTGTCAATGTTATGTAAAGAGGCAACTTTGGCTTTTCATGATCATAGCGCTCTTAGGAGATGATGACAGTTGTTTATCTCATGAACACAGAGAGCTCACCCTGCCTTTCACCTTTCCACACTTTTTCTGTCAACAGCAGACATTTATTATCCGCAAGAAGAAAGAGATTACCTTAAGCATTGCTTTTACTATGATTAATGTGAGGAATAATCATTGAAGGCTACAGTTTCACAAAGGAAACAAATGTCTGTCTTTATGGATTACTGAAAATCATAATGTTTCATCTTCTGTAGCAAAATGAAATGATCAAATACCAGTTTGCAGTATTCAAAGGAAATATAGATACCATTTAGATATAGTCAGTGTTCATCCATAAAGCGGGCAAAGCATTATATGGTATTCATGTATGCATTAAGACTATTGAACAAGATGCATTGTGCTGTAGAGGACGGGGTTGGAAACAAGTCAAGCAAACCTGCCTAGAGTTCTTCATATATCAATAGACATGAAATGTCATGAAAAAAATTTAAAAGCTTTATATTTATAAAACACTTACAGACTCATTTTATGTGACCTTCTTAAGAACCCTCAAATAAAGGTAGAAACTTATTTTTGCTACACATTCATTTCATTTTATCATCAAGTTCTGGCTCCTGTTCTTTATCTGTAGAGAACATCCTGAGCCTATCCACTCTTTCTATCTCCATGAATGCCACTTTAGTCCCAGGCTCCATTACTGCCCAATGGGACTACCACAAGTCCCCTAACTGGTCCATTTTAATTTGAATCACTGAAATCTGTTCTCTACAAGAAGCTAGAGTCATCTTTTCTAGCATACAAGTTACATCATGTCACTTTGTTGTTTGAACTACTTCATGATTACATGCTGAACTTGGAATAAAATCTGTATTCTTAATTAAGCCCTATTAATGTTATCTGGTGAAGAGTCAATGGACACTTCCCTTTCACCAACTATTAAGTTTTTGATTAAGTAATTGCTCCTCGCCCCACTCCTAGGCCTTCTAAGGGGACCTTCAGTCTTTCATTAATAGTCTTTTTCAAGACTTTTACATTTGCACAAACTGTCCTTAAGATTCCTCTAGCTTCCATTTACCACTCAGTGCCGAAACCACACATTTCAGATTTTATTATGGCAGCATCTTAGCTCCAGGTACAAAAAAATCTTTCGATTATCCAATATTATGTAACAAATCACCACAATATATGGTGGCATAAAATGACATCTATTTTGCCTAAGAATCTATAATTGAGACAGGAATTAACAGAGATAGTTCGTCTCTGCTGCACTAGATATTGTCTGGGGTAGCTTGAAGGCTGGAGATAGAATTATCAGAAGGCTTACTCACTCATATTTGTGCTGCTAGTGCAAAAAGACTCAGACGACTGAAACTGGAGCAGCTATGGCCCCTTGGACACTTCCCGCTATCTCTAAGAAACATCTCCATGTGAACTCTCCAAAATTATAGCTTCAGTAGAGCTGGAATTTGCACACGACGCTTCATGACTTCTATGTTGGAGGATTCCAACCTCAGTCTTCGAGCTGAGATAATTAATATTGCTATTTTCAGCACCTAAGTTTTAGGGAATTTTCTAGGCAATAATAGATAACTAATACATATTACAATAAAATGTAGATCATTCCAGGTATGAAATATTTATTAAGACAATATTTTATATGTGTATGAATATATGTACATATATAATATATATGTGTGTATATATGTGTGTATATATATGTATGTGTGTGGATGTATAGATATATATATGTGTGTGTATGTGTGTGTGAATATACATATATATATATATGCCCCAAAATGTTTTAAAAACATTGTAAATGGAACAGGTGGAAAGTTATTTTGGTGAGTAGTCTTTTACCTATTTTTCTATTCCAGCCCTCCATCCGTAGGCATGTTTATTGTGCTTTTTGAAATAGAGGTTTATTAAAGCATAATAGACATGCCATAATTTTCACATATTTAGAGTATACAATTTGATCAGGTTGACATATAAATACATCTGTGAGACCATTACCATAATTGATAATGAAGGTATTTGTTATCTCACCAGATTTCCTTATGCATCACTAAAATTTCATTCCCTCCTTCCTTAAATTTTCCTGTATACAGGAAACCATTAGCATGCTGTCACTTTTTATTAACTTGAATTTTATACAATTTTATATAAGCGGAATTACATTGTAGACACTACTTTCTGTCTTATTTCACTCAACATTACTATTTTGAGATTCATTCATATTTTTCTGTGTTAATAGTTAATTTTTTTTTAGCTGAGTAGTATTTTATTGTAGAGATATTCCACAATTTGTTTAACATGCATCTGTTAAAGAAAATATGCATTGCTTCAAGTTTTTGTTTGTTACAAATAAATCTCTTTGAATATCTGCATACTTTGTTTATTTGGGGTAAATACCTAGAATTGAAATCTTTGGGTTGTATAAATATTTAACTCCATGGGAAGCTTCCAAAATGCTCTCCAAAGAAGTTGTACCATTTCATATTCTAACCAGCAATTTATAAACATTTCAATGGTTCCATATTGTCTTCAACAGTTGCTATGGTCAGTCTTTTTCAACTTTAGCCACTTTGAGTATTGCACAGGAGTTTTAATTTCTATTTCTCAAATGACTATTTTGTGCATTGCTCCACGTGCTTATTTTCCACCCATATATTCTCTATTTCATATATTTGTTTTAGCCATTTTTAGTTGTTTTAGCCATTTTTAATTGGGTTTTCTTACTGAGTTGTAATGGTTATCTATATGTTACCGATACAACTCCTTTACAGATAAATATCTTGCAAATGTCTTCTTTTTTCCCCAGTCACAATATCAAAACTGGAAAAAATGCAAGTGAGAAGCACCAGTTAGCACTTACTAAGATCCTCAGCTCAAGGACTGCACCTGCCACTTTATATACTTTATCTCAATGGTTCCTACCTCTGGCAGCAAATTACAACTGTCTGAAGAAGATGTAAAAAAAAAAAAAAAGTACCCTCTCAGTTCAATTAAGCCACAATCTCTGGACACAGGGCATAGACTTAAGTCTTATGACAAACTTCTCAGGTGGTTTTAATGCACACTGGTGGTTGAGAACCATTACTTACTTATCAAGGTTGCTGGTAGAATGGATGAGATTAGTTTTCTTATGTCTATTTTACAGATGAGGAAACTAAAATTCAGAGAGGTGAAAAGAAGTTGACAGAGGATAGATAATCAGAGAAGAAGCTGGGATTCAAGTCAATATCTACTTATAAAGACTCTGCTTTTATTCATTCTCACTGGGCTATATGCAGGGTAAAACCTGTATTGTGAAAGTAATGAAAGGAAACTTGTTCAAGACCAGCATTAAGAATAGCAGGGGATATTCAGAAGCAGCTAAAGAATAGGGCTCATCGTCTGGTGCAGTGGCTCATGCCTGTAATCTCAACACTCTGGGAGGCTGAGGCAGAAGAATCATTTGAAGGCAGGAGTTCAAGAGTAGTCTGGGCAACAAAGCAAGACACCATCTTTACAAAAAGCTTAAAAATTAGCTGAATATGGTAGCACATTTCTGTAGTCCCAACTACTCGGGAGGCTAAGGCAGGAGAGTTCCTTGAGCATGGGAGTTTGAGGTCCTAGTGATCTATGGAGACTCTATCTAAACAAACAAACAAAGAAACAAACAAACCCTCAAAGAATAATGCCCATGCTTGGCATACAGCAGTCACTAAATAGTGTTTTTTGAATACCTAAAGAATGTGGGAAGTGAAAAGAGCATGTCAGGAAGCCTCATATACAGCTCACCCCCACATTGATAACCTCTTTCCCTTGAAGCTTTCCAGTCTAGTGCCTTTCTTGAGTTTAGCAAGAAAACAGGATTTTCATTGCTGTCTCTTCTAATCTTCTCATCATTTGCTCAGTCTATGGAACCCCCTCGACAGCTAGGGAAGTCCCATTTGTCTTGAGAGAATCTCATTGTACATTAGAGACAATTTATCATCTGCTTAAGAAGGTAATCGCAGCACACAGACCCAGGTACCAAGAATGCCACCCACTCCCCGTCCATTCAAATCTTGCCTATATTTTCAGACTGAGTTTCAATTTCATCTGCTTTTAAAAGCCTTCTCTGACCCTTCTTCAAATCCTATAGCAATTATTGTCACTGCCACTCACATGGTGATCTATCAGAAGCTGCATGATGGCTTCTATTTCTATTATTTTCTTCAACAGTTATTTTATATTCCACATTTTTTAAATTATAAGAATGTTTATATCTCAACTCTCCCCCAATTATTGGATGGAATCTATCCCTATTGGGTGGCAAGGTATAGGTCACATATTTGTATCTGGAAAGATTGTGCATGCAAAGGGACTTTCTTCCACATAGTATCACATCACATTTATTAGGGGACATTTTTAGGAAAAAAAAAATCTACGGAAAATTGCTTCATGAAATGGAAAATGTTAAAGATTTTTCAAGAGAACTTTAGTTGAATTGTATTGACAAATGCTGTTACTGCATAAATTATATCACTATATCTAAGGAAAGAATGAGTCAACAGATGAAGTTTAGAGTCTCAGGGTGGTAAACTGTGTCTAAGCTTGCATATCTGTCTTTATGGTACAGATTTAGGGTACAGTTATGAGAGCCTGATGCAACTGACATCCCTAGCTCTGATACCAGGCACACCAAGAAAGTTTCTGATAATGAGATGACTTATCTTAGAGTTGGTGCATAGACACGGATTGTTTATTCATGTAAATCATTTCAATGATCATATCACGATATCACCAGTCCTTGATATGGCTTTTAAAACCGTTCATCTTCCCCCTATTTATGTTTCTGGCTGTACTCCCCGTCACTTCTATTATTATTCTATAACACCAAAAAGTCTCTTCCTGTTGCCTAAAGATCTGCCACTTAGGAATCCAAGCTCCCCTCTGGTCCTGGAAAACACCTTCATAATTTAGCATTCTTTCTAAATGATTAGATTACACATGTTCTCCTTGATTTTGTCTTGCAGATAGGGCAATATATACAAAGATTTCTTGACAAAGGGAGCCTTATCTTGTGTTAGAATTTATGAATAGTGGTGTCCTGTTCAACAGTGAATGCAAGGCAGGCAGTGACAGGATGGAAATGGAACAAAAGTCACACTCCCAGAGACCACTGTGCACCACAGGCCAGACTCAGATTTTATCCCATTAGTAAAAGAGAGCCAATAAAGGACTGTGGACAAAGGAAGAATGCATATTAGGAATGCTTTGATATTAAGTAGAGAATGCTTGGGATTGGTCAAGACCAAAGGAAAAGCAGTAATGAAGTTATTGCCATCGTACTTCCAGGTTGAATAAAGTCAGTGGCACAAGAGATGGAAAGGCAGTCTGGATCCAAGATATATTTAATGTGCAAAAACAGAGGGACTTGGTGATTGAGCACATTCAGAGCAGCTGGGTTGGAGCTGATACTGCACAGGACAAAATCAGACCTAATTTCTGACCCTTACTTTTAAAGGAAAACTACTTTTTGATTATTTGTGTCTATTCACCCAATACAAACTCTACTAGTAGTTCCTGAATTGAATTCCTCAAAGTGTAGCGATAACAACTGATGACACATCTCTCTCCTTAAACTAAACTGTTAAATGAAAAGGTCGCCTTACACGATGCATTGTGTAATCACTCTCATAGAGCCTAGTGTTAACATCCTTGAGATTTTCTAAGCATTGGTTAAATACTTTAACTGTCTAAACTAATTGGCTTCAAGAACTTGAACACATCAATATTAATAGAGAAATTAGGTTTTGACGTTTCTTTACAAAAAGAATAATGATAAAAATAAATCCAACGGGTATAATGTAATGCGTGCTAACGAGAGAGAGAGTGATGGTCTGAGCTCAGCGCTCACTCTCCTGTGATGGCTGATTAATGGATGTGTGTGTGCTTCCGATTGAAATGCAGATCCAGGCGTGTCCCAGAAAATGAGATCTATGGTAAAGAAAGACGAGGCCCACATGCTTTGATAGCTTTGGTTTTTCTGAATCTAAAGACTCTCAGGGCCCCTCTCTAGTATTCAGTGATTGGGGAGATTGGAGCCTATCAATCAGAGACAGTACAAAATGCACGAGAGATGGTTGTAAGCACATAGGTAATTGCTCTCATACATAATTATACTAGGTCAACATTCAGAGGCCAACTACAGGATTTTTAAGGAAAATTGGCAAATGCTTAAGAACAGAACTTCAGAAATAGGAAAGCTTATAATATTAATTTGTTTAACTCATTGCCCAATAAAGAAACTGGGTTTCAAGGAAAATAAGACACATACAAGCTCACCCAAATAACTAAATTCTGGTGTCTAACCATGGTTGTGGCACAAATGTCAAAGTATTTTCCTCCGAGAAAATAGCCTCCTTTTTCTCATTTGTTGTATGTATACACAAGATTATCTGCTTATAGAGACTAAAATAGAAGACATATTTAAAGTACATATCAAAAGGCTGGAGGCTTAATAAATGATAATTTCTTCATTAATCAATTTAATTTTGAGTAGGTATTAAGTTTTTAACATTGTCTTCTTCATAGTGTCTTCTAAAAATTCTGGGAAATTTAAATAGCAGACCATCTGATATCCTACATTCCTTCTTCCTCTCGTGATTTTACCTGGTGTATTTACCTCCACTCCATAAAATTTTCTCTATATCTATTTCATTCTCCTTCTCACACCATCTTTACCTCTTGTAAGGATGGCCATGATAAGCTCCTCACTGGCCTCTTTGTACCCACTCTTGCCCTTTTCTAATATGTTCTCCAAACAATAACTCCAGAGATTTGCACAAAATGCAAATGTGATCTTGACATCACCATCACGCTTGAAATCTGTCAATGCCTTCGCAATGCTTTAACAAATATATTGTAAGATCTTGCTTATGGGCCGGGTGCGGTGGCTCTCACCTGTAATCCCAGCACTTTGGGAGGCCGAGGCCAGCGGATCACGAGGTCAGGAGTTTGAGACCAGCCTGGTCAACATCATGAAACCCCGCCTGTACTAAAAATATAAAAATTAGCCGGGTGTGGTGGCGAGTGCCTGCAATCCCAGCTACTCAAGGAGGCTGAGGCAGGAGAATCACTCGAACCTGGGAGGTGGAGGTTGCAGTGAGCCGAGATCATGCCACTGCACTCCAGCCTGGGTGACAGAGTGAGACTCCATCACAAAAAAAAAAAAAAGAAAAAAGAAAAAATCTTGCTTATGTCCCCTGCCACTACTGTCTTACATTTATGAACTTAGGATTTCCTTCGTGATTTATCCACTCTGGTCTTCTTTCCAGTGCTCAGCCTTCTGTGCTCCTTCTGGCCACTGAGCCTTTTGTATGTGCTGTCTCTCTGCCTGCAATGCACTGCTGCCGCCACTCCGTCCAGGTCTCTCCTGAGTCTTCTCAGATGATTTCATGTGCCATTTCCTTAGTGTCCTATAGCCTAGGCCAGGTTGCGTTTTTATATACTCTCATAGAACCAGATCCTTTCCTTCTCAGTAGTTTGTCCCATTTATGATTATATTGCAAGTTTCTCACAGAGACCTTAAATTTCATGAGGGTATAGACAATGCCTTTGATTGGGCTCACCACAATGCCTGACACATATAAAATACTCAACATTCATTCATTTAGCAACTTTTTGAATTATACAATCATGTATGTGCAAGTGTCTTAGTCCCTGGAGCTGTTATAAGAGAATACCATAGAGGAGGTTGCTTACAAACCATAGAAATTGATGTCTCACAGTTCTGGAGGCTGGGAAGTCTAAGATCAAGGCTCTGACAGATCTCATGTCTGGCATGGGCCTGCTTCCTGGTCCTCATGTGGCAAAAGTCAAGCAAGTTATGTAGGATCTCCTTTACAAGAACTCTGTTATCATTCATGACCGCAGAGCCCTAATGATGTCATCATCTCCTAAAAGCTCCATCTCCAAACACTATCACTTTGGGGATTAGATTTCAACATAAGAATTTGGGGGAAACATGAACATTCTGCCTATTGTAATAAAAGACCTAAGAAACTTTTAGTTCACGCCTTCATTTTAAGGATAAAAGAATCAAAGTCAGGAACAAAACAAATTTCTTAGAATCCGGGAAGAGATTGCTCCAATCTGGGGACCGTATCTAATTCTCCCACATCCGATGATGTTACCCTAATTCATTTCCTTCGTTCAAATCCTTACACATGCTGTAAATTTCAGAGGAGTTATTTATTCCTAATAAAGTATTAGTACTTTTGTCTTCTGTGAAGGTTTAGCTAAAGATCATAGAACTAAGAACTGTGAGGAGTTATTTATTCCTAATAAAGTATTAGTACTTTTGTCTTCTGTGAAGGTTTAGCTAAAGATTATAGAACTAAGAACTGTGAGGAGTTATTTATTCCTAATAAAGTATTAGTACTTTTGTCTTCTGTGAAGGTTTAGCTAAAGATTATAGAACTAAGAACTGTGAGTACCCAGTTGTTTTGACTTTAAATAGAAGTTTGTGACTGAATTTTCCAGGCCTCTAAAAAAGCTCCCCAAGTAAAAGACTGCCTGGACATATTTCAAATAAAATAATATAGGAATGATTTTAGTTTTCAGCTTTTTTCTGACTCGGCATTCATTTTAGACATCGCTATCCCTTACTGATTGCTTTGAACAGGTTTTTAAATAAGAAAACTGGAAATTATAATACTCTCCAGTGACAGCTGATTGCATTGGAAAGCAGTTAGGCTTCTTCTATACTTCAGTTCTTCTTGGCCAGACTCTGACTAATTTCCTTAGCATTTCCATTTATATGTACACCAAGGATTGAAAAGGTTCACATCTTTCCAATCAAAAGTGCTGCATGGATCACTGACTTTGAAAGGGAAGTCAGGTACTCAACCTCTCTTTCTGCTCTGTCAGGGGAAGTAAAGCCTTTCAATTCAATCTCCAGTTATCTGGATGCTCTTCTCTGTAGCATCTCATGTAGTTAATTGGCTGTTTCAAAGGACACTGGTTTAGAAAAAAATAAGAATAAATGTTCTAGCTGCTGACAATCCACACATTATCACCTTAAGCTTAACCTAATTAGACTGAGTCACTAGTCGGAAGTTTTGACCTTCAGAGGGAACATTGTTACTGTCTTCAGTCAACCATATATATTTCCTACTGAATATTAGATCTAAGAAAAGCAAGGCAAATTGCTTCATATAAAGCAGGTGACTTGTGAATAGTTTTGACTCAGCTGTTGCCTATTCATACAAAGAGAGGAAGGAGAAAATAATAGTAATGTTCATAATAGATACTGATATTAAGGGACATTTTTCTGGCTCTTTAAAATTTGCATAATATTTTCACAAACATTACTATGTCAAATTAATCAATTAGTGAGGTCCTGGAGTTCAAATTTCTCATCTTTATAAAAGATAGAAAAAATTGAGCTATAGAGAAAAGAAAATAAAAGACTGTCTCAAATGCTGCAATGCTACAGAAAGGTGAAGGAAAATCAGAGACATGTATAAGACACTACCCAAAACAGATAAAGTCACGTCGAATCTCTTTTGTTTCATTCTCAAATAAATGGGCTCTAACTGGCATGGAGAAAATGGTGCCTTTTTTCCAGAACAGTAGGTACCCTGTGGTTGAAGCTGCTACACCAAACATCGAGCAAACCCATGACAGGCTCGTAGGGAAGAGAGGACTCAACAGTTCAAGTGGACAGAGTAACTTCTAAAGATCAGGTACAGCTTGGAAAGAAAACTACTACTGGAAGTCCCTACCCAGGAAAAAAGATCCATCTCCAATGTGAAGTTGGCTTCAGACCCCTCAGCTCTGCTTCCTACAACAGAGTCTGTTTCACATCTACTGTTTCTCCTAGGGCTACACCCAGTTAGCAAACAATCAGTAGAGAAAAGAAGTTTAAGGAACATAAAACACTAGCATCTCCTGGGTATGATGTCATGTTTTATGCCAAGTGCAGAATAGATTAGGCACAGGGTCCTGCACGTAGCACACAATGAAGGGTAATTATGTTGTTGTTATATCCTTCAGTACCCATGTTTCTCAAAGCATGGTTCTGCTTGGTATGTGTTAGAAGTAGGTAAAGTTCTTGTTAGAAATGCAGATTTCTAGGCTCCTCCGATGCAGACTGATTTAACCAGAATCTCACTGGGAAATGCCCAAGGATCTGTATTTTTAACAAATATGGCCTGATATAAACTCACAATTGAGAAGCACTCTTATGTGCTAGATATTTTACACATTTTGCTTAATTTGGTCCTTCCAAAAAAAAAAAAAATTCTTGTTTTACAGGAGAGAAAACAGGGGCTCAAGTTGTTCTTAAAAATCCACATCGAGCTAATACCAATACAGTTCTGCTTGACTTCAATCTCCGTGTCCTTTCAGCTATTTGAGGCAGTGAGTTGTTAAAAAAAACAAAAACAAAAAAAAAAAACTGTGCTCCTGGGAATTACTGCCCTGGGAGGGTCTTGGGTATTGCTTCAGCCCAGCTAGCTATAGGAGAGGAGGAAAGAAATTAGCAATATGGAGACTGCCCACTACTTTGGGGCTGAGGAGGCAACAATTTATTGCTCATCAAGGAAGAAAATAATAGCTGGCTCTCTCAATCCTCCACATTTATATGGTAAGCCTTACTTCAAAGTCACCCTGGAAAATTACATGACATTTTTATCACAGTCATTTTCAGACTGGGTCATTATCTTTAACCAAACATTTGTGCCACATTTTGAACAGACACGTATATCAGGCAATCAGTAGATTGTGCTAGCAAATTCAAGGGGAGACGTTTCCACAATCTTTTCGGGGTTGCCCATCAAGAGATGATGGTGATAAGGGAATGAGGGGAAGAAATGTGAAAGAAAAAGGTGTAACCAACTGACAAGTCTGGTTATCAACCCAAAGGACTGAGGCTGGGGACTGGGATTTTAGCTAAATGGACAATTCCTGTTGGTATAAATGGCTATTACTTAAGAGATATTTTTACGATGTGTACCAGGCTGGAGTTCCAGGCTCTCCATGGGCAATTCACCCAATCACTTAAGATCTTGGTTGCTTAATGGAGACAAGATATGACTTAGCTTATCTCTGTGATGTGTATGAATTCTGCTCTCTCTCTTTTTTTTTTTTTGAGATGGAGTCTTGCTCTGTTGCCAGGCTGGAGTGCAGTGGTGCGATCTTGGCTCACTGCAACCTCTGCCTCCCTTCCAGGTTCAATCAATTCTTCTGCTTCAGCCTCCCGAGTAGCTAGAACTACAGGCATGCACCACCATGCCCAGCTAACTTTTGTATTTTTAGTAGAGACGGGGTTTCACCATGTTGGCCAAGATGATCTCGATCTCTTGACCTCATGATCCACCCGCCTTGGCCTCCCAAAGTGCTGGGATTACAGGCGTGAGCCTCCGCGCCTGGGGCTATTTGTTGATCTACCATCTAGTAGATGTCAAATATTTGGCCTAGACCTTTGGCCTTCCTTGACTGACCTCCACCTAGCTGTGTAAATATGGAACTGTTCTTTTTAGGCTAGGATCTGCTTGCACATTCAATCTATATCATCACATTCATCAGAAGAGTTTAAAGCAAAATGTATTTTATTTAGAGTTACAAGGCTTAAGTTCAAAACTTACTTGAATGCATTACTTTCTGTGTGACTTTAGGCAGATTGTAGCCTCTCACTGAATCTTAGTTTTCTCAATGTGAAACGGAGCTAACTATATTTAATTTCTAGAGTTATTATACGATAAGTAATGGAATACTGTAACATTTTTGCCAAACATACTGCTCGAGATATATACTCAGATTGTCACCTGAGTATAGATCTGGCAGCCCTATTCTTTTGAAATAACAATTCATAGTGACTCCCTAGAAGCCAAGACATTTTAGTTTTATTAACTTGTGTGAGAACAAACCTCCTCTTCTTGTCTGCCTGGTGTCTCCTGGAAGAGATTTGTAGATATAGTGGCTTCAGCCCTTTTCAACTTGTTTTTTCCTCTCCAGTGGATATTGCCGCAACCTATTGCAGAGTGTTGACATTGTACAAATGACTCTGAGGCGGTAATTTATGGTGTGCTGGGTGCAATTTATTTTTACATGTCCAGTGAAGCAAGGTGTCAACAGTTTATCAATATCAGACAAAAGGGTATAGATCAAGCTTTTAGGAAATATAGCTGTGTATTCTTAAGGTGGATTCAGATATAGATGAAGAGTTTCAAGGGTGTAGAGGGACCCCCCTCCTGGTTGAATGACAGAAGCCTAGGGAAGCTCTGTGACTACAGACTTGACTCCAATATTTCATATCAGACATGTTATTTCATTCAACAAACATTTATTGATGTTTATTTGGACTTGAGCACAAGGCCTAGTGTTGGAGGCTGGAACTAGAGCAGAATATGAGATGCTCCCAAATGTGTCAAGTAACTCATATTTTGGTACAGCACACAGACCCGTAGCTGATAATGATTTAATCATTGAATGCTGAATAGGGAAATACAGGAGGTGAAACAGAGGAAGACAGAGAGGGGCAGATGCACAAAAAGCACTTTTCTTTGTTTTAGGAATACAAAGATGGACACATCAGTTATGCTTGCTGTTGTTAGGGAATTTACAATTGGAAGCAATGTCTGGTAGCCAACAAGTAAGTGCATAATTAAATGACATGATTTAAAATTACGTAAAGTATGTGAAGAAAACACACATGGTTTGGAAAGATAAAACATCTTATACAGGGTGGTCATGGAAGGCTTCTTTGAGAAGGTGCAGATTCTGAGAAGCTAAAGTCATAAGAAGCTTCTATTCAGTCTCCATGCAGTTTCAGAAACGACATTGTCTTTATTCACCCATTTTGGTAAAACAGATGAAAAGATATATTTTTTCTTTTCCCAAATAAAAAAGTCTGAGATAAGCAATTCTGGGTCAAGGCATTTAGGGGTAAGAGTAAAGAAGCCCAGCTTAATTAAAATGTCTGTCTATCTATACTCAACATCTTATTTCACTGAGATTTATTAAAACAGATATTGTTGTTAATCAAAAGTCAATTGATTTCTCAAAAATATTTATTGAGACTTAACAACCCAGTTATGTGTGTTGTGTGGTTGTTAAGGTCTCAATAAATCTGATTTTTCAAACCAATGTGAATTTAATTAAAATGCAAAAAAAAAAAACCTTTCTGGTTTGCTTCAAATCCTTATTTTATACAATTAATAGGATGCTATTAAGAGCCTGATTTAGTGACTATAGGGCAGGGAGGATTTAGTGTCCATTAAAGCCTCCTGTGAGTACCAGAGCAGCAGGAGGAAACACTGGGAAAGAGAACCAGAAGGATGTTTGCTGAAGTGACTGGCAGACAGCAGTGGGGGTTGTGCTGAAATAATGCAATGTTTTGACAGACCTTAAATTCCAATTAGTTGGGACACAAGTATCCCAAAATATACAGGTCACATGAAATGTAGGTCGCACTGACTTCATTCAATCCTTGCTTTATTACTGTTTTAGTGACCCTAGTGTTTGTACTGGGTTGGATAGCCCCCCTATCCATTCTCACCAATTCCTGTTCACCTGGAAGTTGTGAATTTGACCTTACTTGGTAGGGTCTTTGTAGATGTAATCAAGTCAAGATGAGGTCACACTAGAGTAGGTTGAGCCCTAATCCAGTGACTTATAAGAAGATGGAAATCCTTATAAATCTCCTTATAAATCCTCATAAGAAGATGGAAATTTGGACATTGGCACACAGCGGGAAAAGCCACGTGAAGTGGAGGCAGAGATTATAGTGAGGCATCTACAATCCAAGGAATGACAAGGATTTCTGGAAGCCAACAGAGGCTGGGAAGAGGCAGGCAAAGATTTTCCCTAGAGCCTTCAGAGAGAGCATGGCCTTACCAACATCTTGATTTTGGACTTCTAGCCTCCAGAACTATGAGATAATACATTTCTACTGTTTTAAGTAACCTTAGTAGTACCTGGTTACAGCTCACCTAGGAAACAAATCCAGGTGTCTTGGAAAGGCACTAGCCTTTAATACACATCTCTGCCACTCCAGTCATACAAGAGATACTCAAGAAATATGAGCCCATGGGTTTCTCTCTGCCAAAAGCCTAGAAAGCCTTTTCCATCAAAATCTTTTATCTCTACTTATAGCATGTTTGTTTTTCAAAGCCAGTTCACTTTTTGCCTCTTCTATGAAGCATTTCCTATAGACTCATTCAGGAGGGACCACTGCCTTTGAATTCCTGTTTCACACTGATTTCTTCTTTCAAAAGACAAATCCTTATTAGCATTGTCATTTAGTGATGCCATCACTGTCTGTTTGGAAAATAGGTATTAAGGTTGGTTTGGGGCCTTCATGAATTCATTTAACAAAATTGTATGAGGTATCTATTCTGTGTCAGGTACTCTGCTAGAAATAGGTCAGACGATATACAAAATAGACACTCAAAGCTCTAATGGCTTGCATGCTTATATTCTTAGACTACCCACTATCACAGTTATATTCCCATAGGATGTATTAAGTAATCATTTTGGTTTTAGCACACAAGGCTTCCACTGACCCATGGGCAGGAGATACAGCACAAAGAGTCCAAAGACCTGGGTCAATACTAGGCTCTGCCACATCACATTTTGTAGAAGAGAACATGTTTCTCAACATTTCTGAGTCTCATTTTCCTGACTTCTAAAGGGAAGATCATAACATCTACTTTGTGGAGTTGATATGAGGATTTATTGAGGTAACAACTGTAATTCAATTTTATAAATATCAGTTGCCCTTCTTGGCTCCCAGAGTCATCCCTATCTCCCTTCCCTCATTGAATGGCTTTGTCCTGCGTCTTGAACAGACAGGGAAAATAGAAAGGCCCTGGGATACCAACCCAATTCCAGCAACAGAACTCTCTCTTATGAACATCCTAGAAAGCTGATATCAGATACTGGCACACACACAAAAATAAGTAGATAAAGCAGGGGAAAGGGAAGAATGATCATTCAAGCAAAGTCAGCTGGAGTCATTAGACTGGGTAACAGAAAAGCATTTAACTTCCAGTTGTTTTTAAGTGTACTGATTTTCCCCACCCTGGAAAACCTATGCTAGACCCAATAGGCAGCTGACCTTTAGTCCCCTCCCAGAGCAGCCTCTTTTGCAGCTTAATAACTGCCAATTTCTCAAAATTTTCTCAAAATTCAAGCTTGGGTATGGAGAATGAACACTGAAAAACTCTCCAACTTTTCCTTTTTAATAACCCTGTGATGCCTCTTCAGATTCAGTTCACCTGCACAGGAATGAAGAAAGGAGCACAAGTGGCATCATAAATACTCCAGTGGGTCAAATGTGAGTGGGAACAGATGACATCGTGTCTAATTAAGCTTTACAATGGAAAGAAACTGCTTCCATTACACCTGTGCCCTCTTCTACAAACATGCATGCAATTTATGAGTTTCCCCAAGGCCCTGCTTTGCCTCTTTGTAGTTCATATACTACTTTTTTTTAAAAATTTTCTGGCATCAACATCCCCTATTAAGTCATTTCCTTTCTTCTTGTCAATGTCTTTACATTCTGTCCATTTTGGGGACACACATAATGAAAAGAACAAGCATGTTGGAATCTCCCTAACTGTAGTTCTAAGTCTCTTCCTGATCACCTAGATATTCTGGGGACAATTTGTTGAATTGTTTATTTTTTTAGTTATTTGATTTGTACTGGCCTAGAGCTGACTATATTTCATGTACTGGTATGTATGTAGAAGACAGAAAGATAAAAATGTTCCTACCCTCAGGGAGTCACCAATCCACTGGGAAAAGATTAAAGAAGTCACTTTTGGAAAGTAGCATAAGTAAAAATTAAAATTACTTATTTTTAAAAAACATATTTTATATATTTATTTTTTAATAATCTTTTAAAGAAGGAGATTATTATTTCATTGTATGGAAAAGGCAATGAAGTCTCCGTTATTAAATAACATAGGAAGAGTCTTGCCATTAGGATCTAAACTTTAAGCTATATACATTTTTTAAGTCATATAACTTTAAGTCAAATCCTTTTCCACTTTTTGATTAACCTATTAAATCTCACGTATTTTCAGAGAGGAGTTAAGTCTATTTTGCTCAGTACAATAAATTTGGCATAGAATTTGAAGTCAATCCCTAATGTCTCAATTTTCTTCTGGACATATCTTCCTCAGTTCTATCTTCACCCCCACCCCTCCCTCACCTATGAGTTTTTCCGTGTGTGGTGCAAGTGCCAAGACTTATCACAGTGTCACATGTGAATTAGATGATTTGCAATGACAAGCAGCAATTGTCCATAGCTTTTCACACTCAGTCCCTATCCTTCCCTCTGGAATTGAGAAAATGGAGCATCTATAACTCACTAAAAATACGCACATATGGGCAGGGGGGAGATGTTACTAATTGAACTGTGTCCCTAGAAAGATATGTTGAAGTCCTAACCAATGGTATTTGTGAATGTGACTTTTTAGAAATAGGATCATTGGAGATTCAATCAAGTTAAGATGAGGTCACTAGAGTGAGCCCAAATCTAATATGACTGGCATTCTTGTTTTTCTTCTTCTTATTATTTTTATGGCAGGGTCTCACTCTATTGCCCAGGCTGGAGTGCAGTGGAGTGATCTCAGCTCATTGCAATTTCTGCCTCCTGGGTTCAAATGATTCCCTTTCCTGAGCCTCCCGAGTAGCTGGGATTACACACACGTGCCACGATGCCCAGCTAATTTTTGTATTTTTGGTAGAGATGGTGTTTCAACATGTTGGCTGGGCTGGTCTTGAACTCCTGACCTCAAGTGATCCGCCCGCCCTGGCCTCCCAAACTGCTGGGATTACAGGTGTGGGCCACCGCACCCAGCCTGGCACTCTTAATAAAAGATGAAAAAGCAGTGTGAAAACAAAGACACAGGGAGAATACTATGTGACAACAAAGGCTGAGATTGAAATGATGCAGCTGCAAGCCAAGGAATGCTAAAGATCAATAGCCACCACCAGAAGATAGAAAGAGGCAAGAAAGAATTTGACTCAGAGTCTCAGGGAGCATGACCCTACTGACACCTTGATTTCAGACTTGTCACCTCTGGAACTCTGAGAGACTGAATTTCTGTTTTTAAAAGCTATGGTGTTTGTGGTATTTTATTACTACAGACCTGGGAAATGAATACAGGTGATGCCAAAAATTTCTTAAGAAAACAAGCACTTGGATGTTGATTGCAGGATAGTGACCACTTCAAGTGGTTGGCATACTTGTCCCATGTCTCCTTGTGTCTTTACTGTGACAGGCAATTTGCTGAGCAATGTTATCACCATAGAACCATGTAATGTTTCAGCTGGAAGGATCCTGATGGTGATCATCATGGCTTGTTTGTTTTAACTGTGAAGGAATTTTGACCCTGAGGAAAGCAGTGACTACTCAAGGATGGAGCAAGAAAAAATATTCCAGTTCCTCTTTCTTCCATACCTGTGCTCTTTTCATCATTGAGACATTTCATTAGCCCTTATAATCTCTCCAGTTCTTAAAAGAGAAATCTGTGGGCAAAGTCCAAATCCAAACATAGAATTATACTGTCTCACTGTCCAAATATATAAAATAATTCCTTGGTGTATTAGTCCATTTTCACAGTGCTGATGAAGACATACCAGAGACTGGGCAATTCACAAAAGAAAGAGGTTTAATGGACCTACAGTTCCACGTGGCTGGGAAGCCTCACAATCATGGCAGGAAAGCAAGGAGGAGCAAGTCACGTCTACATGGATGGCAGCAGGCAAAGAGAGCTTGTTCAGGGAATCTCCCCTTTTGAAAATCATCAGATCTCATGAGACTTACTCGCTATCAAGAGAACAGCACAGGAAAGACCTGTCCGCATGATTCCATTACCTCTTACTGGGTCCCTCCCACAACACATGGGAATTCAAGATGAGACTTGGGTGGGGACACAGCCAAACCATATCACTTGGTATAGTGTTATTATTCCAGAAAGAATATATTTTGCAATTTTGCCTTTAAATTAAATTATTTGTGTACAAAAAAACACCTTTCAAATTTTGGAAGTAGTGAAATATTTATACAACAACTACAAAAATATAACCAGATGACCACTAAAGCTACAAATAAATCACAAAACTATAATTCTGGATATAATTAATATTCTTAATATTTCTATAAATGATTTGTATAGCAATCCACTGAAAGCCCTTTTGAAATGGTAATTGACATGTAAAATTTAGACAATAAGAAATTAGTGCTTCTCATATGTCTGGATAACTATGTAACCTTATGAAAAATAAATAAATTTAAATTTAAATAACGATATATTCATTATTCTATCATCAGATCATTGCTTAAAACAATAATACAGAATTATAGTACATCTACAGGAAAACAAATACTTTTATACATTATGCTCAATTATACATTAGAAAATAATTTGTCAACATAAATTGTCTTAAAATACATAATACCTTAACCCTGTAATTCTAGATCTAAAAATATATGTTCAGAGAAGAAGCTTAAATAACGTAATTGCTTGACCTAAAAATGTTTGTCCAGTATTCTTAAAAATATAATTAACTATAAATAAATTTCAACAACAAGGGATTTTTTAAGTATATTGTATGATGGGGCACTATGTGCCCATTATAAATATTCACAAAGTATTTTTAATAACGTAGAATGTTTAAATTATAGCACCAAGTAGAAAAAAGTAGAGTAAAACTAAAAATGTAGTAGCTAAACTGTCATACTTAAACCCACTACAAAAAGAAACAAAAGTTAAACTTCCCCAAAAGCAGTGCTATAAATTTGGTATCATCCTTCTCCTAGACCTGCCCCAATACATGCTCATAGATATAGATATTGATATATAGGTATAAATTTAAGAATAATTTTAAAAAGAAATCTTGTAACCCAGTTTCTTATCCTCTCTCTATTTCAAAAATTCATTCCTTTGTTAGAAAACAGAAGTTACCAAGTAAGTTACCAAGCAATATCAAAATAGAGAATTTTCAGGATATGGAAGAGGATATATCCAAGCTCTCCTGAAGGGCTGGAGTAGAAACAAGTCTTGATAAGGGATGACTCCTAGGGAGGGTCCTGATAGATAAACAGAACTTATCTATTTTAAGTTTAAGCCGTTCTTTCTCTTCCCTGCTCCTTACCCTCTCTTATTTTTGAATAAATTGTCTCTCATTTTAACCAAAAGTTGCAGCTGGGATTCAAAAATTTTTATAACACCTTGCTCTTGTCCACTCTACAGCCAATTAATACAGGATTTAATAGATGAGAGAGCCAGGTGAATTAATTAGAGTACTTTCTAGTTTTTCTTTTTTTTTTTGCTTTAATAAAACTCTAAAAAAGAGTATCTATTTCTAGTGACAGAAGCTAAAGACCATGAGGTTCTGCATGTATTGGCAGAACTGCTTCTCAACACACCACATGGGAGAAGCTGGTGTTCAGTGAGGGAGGAAGAACAACAGACAGTGGGAGGCAGAGACAAATGCCAGGGAAAGACCAGGCAGGATTTTCATCTCTGTACCCCATAGTACTCTTGTCTTTTGTAGGATTTAGTTACTGAAACTTCAACTCAGTAACAAACTCTATATACTTCTCATTAGAATTTCTATTTTCTTAAAGTGGCTTGATTTAGGATTCTTCACAATGTAACTAGAGAAGTATCATAATGCATGATACAAAATTAGAAGGGTGAACCAGGAGCAGACTTGGATTGGCATTCTTAAGAATGTAAAATGTAGCCTGTAACCAACATAGAAATTCTAATAGAATTTCAGTAGAGGACTAACATGTTCAATTTGTGCTTTTAGAAGCACCACTCCAGTGGACATGTGCAGAAATTATCGGTATATGGCAAAACCAAGCGTCCAGTTTGGAAGCTATTATCATAGTCATTGTGAGAGAGAATGAAAGCCAGAAGTAATGAGTATGTAAGGAATGCAAAAGAGACAACCAAAAATAGTAAGTAACTTTGGCAAGCCATATAGATGTGGCTGTATAGCTTTTTTCTGAGTCTGATCCATATATTCCTCATGTCATATCTTAAGTGAACAATCCAAGGAAAACCCACTGTCCTTCAGTTGAATTTTTATTGCCAGGCTTTGAATATTCTTCATTTTTAGGTCAGCAGGCACAAAACACAGATTTCTCTCCCCTTGCCGACTCACAGTAAGCCTGAGAGTCTACACAAAGCATGCTGAGATCGATACATGGGAAATAAATAGTCATTTTTATTGTTGCATTGATAAGGAGGAATGCTTTCTCTTACACAAAGGAAAACTGTGAGAACTATAAAGAAATCCTAAAGATGGCTTTAAGGCAAATTAAAAATTAATGACAAGAAAAATCAAATTCCTTTTGTGGTCTATCTTCCCCCACCTGCAGATAACTCCAAATACCGTTACTGAAGGAATCACATTAGTGTCTAATTTAAAGGAATTTCTTCTGGCAAAGTCATCACTAAACATTTAATTACACCTGTTTCCATCAACGTCTTAATTTTTCCAAGAGAGTAGGAGTGGCACCATCACCTAAGGCACCCTGGCTCTTGCCTGGCAATTCAGAGAATTGCATGACCTTTGTTCTTAGAGAGGAAATTGCAGTTTTTAAAAACTCATCTACAGAAAGATCTCTCACTCACAACACAATCACACCTGTCAGGTCACTGCTGTCATCCATCTTCGGTAGCATTGATTTCTTGAAAGAAATGACAATAACCTAGAAAAATGGTGAGGAAATATTTTGGTGTATCGTAATGTGCCCAGCTGCAAATACAACCCATATTACTTATTATTAGCAACTTCCTTCCTGTCACTTTGAGTATACTCAAGACCACAAATGCCACAGTGTGAAAGATATGTATTTGAGTTTCATATTTATTCAGATCATTTTCAAATAAACAGGCAAACAATAAGTTTGAATCCCAAATGTTTTTAAAAAAATAAAAAAGACTGCTGCCTTCTTCCTAATCAGGAATTTCTCTGCACTAAGCACGGATTTTTCAAGCAAATGGAAACTAGATTTAAAAATACTACAGCACGCATTTGAATAGCAACTGTGCTGGTTTGTGAGAATGTGATTTGGTATAACTTTTTTGTGCTCAGTTTTCTCACCTGTATCCATAGCATAATAATTGTACCTGGGTCATAACATTGTTGTGGGATGCAATTTGAAGTAATAAGGGTAAACCTGAAATTGCTTTTCCTACAAGTTGGGATTAAAAATGGATACCTTATTTGACAGTCCTAATTTCTATTATAAACCACAGAACTGACAAACAGTGAATTCTCATTACACACTAGATAGAGGCCGGAGTAGGGAGTTTGGATTTCAGATAATTAGTAGGCAATAAAAATCCATCTTACCTTCTAAACATAGATATCTTTGTCAAAATGCCTATGATTGGATCTACTATAATAGCAAAACATATCAATTGGAGTCATAAAGGCCAAAGAGTTGTTGCAATAATCCAGGTGAACAATGTTAAAAAGCAGCTAGCCTAATACAATTAGATACAAAGGGATAGAGTTAAGAGATTATTTCATAGAAATTGAAAGATTATTTTATAGAACTGACAAAATTCGAAAATTAATTTGGATGTGATTATGACCTCAGTAACTAACCCATGTGCCCAGCACATGTCACCAGAGCTCAAATGCATGTTAAATTGTAAAACTGCACAACAAATAGTTGGTTAAGTTTAATGTTGCAGCTGGAGAACTTTCTCAGCAATTCCTTTTCTGTTTATGCGGATTTCAGTAAGACGACATTTCTACCCGTATTTTCTACTTTATTTACAGAGGAGCCTTTAAAAACCAGGAAGAACTGCCTTCAGCGCAAGTGATCATTTATTATCCAAGTTTTAATCAAATTAGCTTTTTTTTAGACTAGAAATTTGATGTCAATCGCAATTGATCTCAGCAGAGGAAAGGAGGGGAGGAGAAGTCATATATGAGAAGCGATTCAGGAAGGATTTCTGGGAGATAAATATTTGTAATGTAATTATAGATGTGTCATCAACACCACTATAATTTACTGTCAGTCACCATACTGATGATAGGATCTTATCTTCCAAGGTATAACTCTCGTTCACTGCAATTATCTCCAGGATGAATCTTCATGCTCAAAGCCCCCAGTGTAGAATTATTGTGAGATAAGATTCAGAAATTGATATTTCCGTGTCAATGCCCCATGATGTGGATCATCCAGAGGTCTCAAAATCTCTTCGCTGTGTGGCTGAGGGTTAGTTGCAAGTTGTCAGAAACAGATGTTGGTGTTTCCACCACGTTGTGTCATTTCCTGACATAAACAACTTGCCTGAACAATCAATTTGGGATAGAGGTAGGGATTTGCAGTTAAAAGGTCTCACACAAGCTAAATTTTTAAAAGTTGACTTAAATGAATTTCAATGTAAACATTCTGGATGCTGAATTTAAACCCCAATTCTCTCAGTTTTCTCAACCTAATATCTCTTTTTCTTCCTCTTTTTCACCTTCATTGCTGCTACCAATAATCTATTATCTGAACTACTTTCTAAATTATTCTTCTGCCTCTAATATTTCCCAATGTATGTACTTATTTTCCTGTCAGAATTTAAAAATGTTTCATCACTCAGTTGTGTAACCATCTCCTATAACACTTTAATACCCTCATTATCTTGCCTATCCCAACTATTCTGTATTCTTAATGGAAGTAAAAAAATGGAGCCAGGCACGGTGGCTCAAACCTGTAATCCCAGCACTCTGGGAGGCTGAGACAGGTGGGTTGCCTGAGCTCAGGAGTTCAAGACCAGCTTTGGCAATACGGTGAAACCCTGTATCTACTAAAATACAAAAAATTAGCCAGGCGTGGAGGTGTGTGCCTGTAATCCCAGCTACTCAGGAGGCTGAGGCAGGAGAATTGCTTGAACCCGGGGGACGGAGGTTGCAGTGAGCCAAGATCGTGCCACTGCACTCCAGCCTGGGCAACAGGGCGAGACTCTGTCTCAAAAAAAAAAAAAAAAAAAAAAAAGATTGTCTTCAAGTTGCTAAAATCTGGTTAAGACTCAACGTAGCATTTTTTCTGTTTACTTGTCTAAGGGTCATTACAGCTACCTGTTCATAATTTTTTTTTGAGAATCCTGAGGTGGAAATGCCAACTTACATCTTTATGTTAGCCAAGAAATGCACTGATGTAAGAAGAAATCTCTGAGTGGGTCTTAAATAAGTAGGAGTTTTAAATTTAATTAACCAGAGAAACAGCGACCTGAGCAAACCACATAGATTGTGAAAGGAATAGCATGTTTAAGGAAGAGTGAACATTTTAATTAAACCTTGAAGGATGTCCTTCAGAGTCTGGCATTGGGAGAAGATTAGGTAGGAGGCCAGGTACAGTGGCTTATGCTTGTTTTCCCAGCACTTTGGGTGGCCAAGGCAGGAAGATTCCTTGAGCCCAGGAGTTCGAGACCAGCCTGGGCAACATGGCAAAACCCCACCTCTACTAAAAGTGTTAAAAAATTAGCCAGACAGGGTGGGGCGTGTCTGTAGCCACAGCTACTCCAGAGGCTCAGGTGGGAGGACCACTTTAGCCCACAAAGTCGAGGCTGCAGTGAGCCACGGTTGTGCCACTGCACTCCAGCCAGGACAACTGGAGTGAAAAACCTGTCTTAAAAAAAAAAAATTAGGTAGGAGTCATTTTCAGGGTCATATGGAAAAAAGGTTTTGCAAACCATCCTAAAGAGTTTATACCCCTATAAAGCACAATTCAAAGAGAATGAAAAAGAGCTTCCAGTCTTTATATTCATTTTATAATGCTTACTCTGAACCCAGCATGCAGAATTCATTGGGGAGAAAGACGAAAAAAAATAACAAAACAGTCAGTGGAAGTAGAAATATTTTACTTTTTTAAACTGTCCAGTATGCAATTAATATTCCTCTCTTAATTTGGAGGAACTCCATTCTGTGTACATTCCAGAGATATAGTGCATGCTTCCTGATCTGCAGTCTGAACAGGGAGTAGAATCTTTCTCTTTTTTGTCTTATCACAATCGGAGCTCAACCCTTAACTTAAGTTCAGCCATTAGTATGCTCCACTAGGACTTTGAGTCTCAAAGGACTGAGACACATAAAGTCAAAGAAGTGTTAAGATCCACTCTCACCTAACGCAGAACCACCCTGGCAGTGGTGGTGCCTGCAGTTCTAGAACACTATTCTTGGAAGACTTCATGCCCTTGAAAGGCCATTGTTCTGCCTTGTAATTTTCCCAGTCTAAATTTCCCATTCTGGAATAAGAGGTAAGTAGGTATTTTTATTCACAACGTTGTGCAGAAACCTAGAAAAGATTTGCTTAGACATTTTCAACTGTGCACAAAGAGTCTTTCAGATTCTCATCGACTTTGGAGCAAAGGACACCATTTGTCTAAATTTTCTATTTCTTAATGAGACTAGTATTGTTTTCTGTTGCTTGCATTCATGGGCCATGAATGAGGGAGAGTCCACTGTAAAGCAGAGGAAATATAGAACAGCGGACAGATTTAAGGCATAGGTTTAAGGCAAAATAGACCAGATGACATGGTGACATCAGTAAATGATATGCAAACGTGTAATGTTTATATTCATCTGCAAACTACATATGGCTTTTTAATCTTGTTTCTCATTCTTCTACATTTAGCAGGAGTACATGTAAAGAACACCATTAGCTGCAATTGTTGGTTCCATCTTCACTGTGCATTTTTTCAAAACAGATTCTACCCACACCTGTTCCCTGGTAGCAAGAGCAGTGCTTGGCTCTCCGCAGAATGCTAAGAACGGTGTGAATGTAAACAGATATACAATCGACAAGGTAGGAGGCTTCACTGGAAAACAAAGGGCCACCGTGTGGGAAGGGAATCTTGGAGACCAGTTAACTGTGCATAGCAACACTTATGCTACAGAGTAGTAAAGGGAGAATAAAGAAGTGAGTAGGTAGATAGAAGACCAATCAAGCACATCATATGGTGACTGCTAAGGGTTTTAAATGTCATTGCAGAGCAATGCTAGAACTTTGCCTGGCCCATGGAACTAAATATTTTGCTTGTTTCCCCATCCTCAACTACTGCAAATAAATCCAGTTTTCTCTCACAGATTTGACAGACAGATTTTCAACCACCTCGTCTATTCTGCAAGCAATGGAGTTTCAGGACAGAGACAAAGGAGGGTTTTGGAATAAGAGGTAAGTAGGTGTTTTTATTCACAATGTTGTGCAGAAACCTAGAAAAGATTTGCTTAGGCATTTTCAACTGTGCACAAAACAAAGGCAGACCATTAGTGAGGACTAGCCTATCTTGTTCTTGGTCCTACTAGGTGGCGTAGTAGGACAAGACAAGAACTAGAGGGGGTATATTATGAAACTGTGCTCACCTCTTCTCTCATCTTCAACATCATCCCTTTAATTCAGTGGACACTTACTAAGTTCCAGAAATTGCACTAAACCCTGTATATGCATTATTGTATAGACTCCTCACACTGTTCCTAGGAGTTGGTAATAACATTCTGCCCATTTTATACATGAGTAAACTGAAGCCAATTTTGATACCATAGCCCACTTTCCCCACTCCCTCCCTCTTTGTATTACATTTGCTTCTAAGGCAGCAATTTGTTCAACTGCAGTGAGAAGACTCAATTCACTAATTCTAAGAGTTCCTCTTATACAAAACTAAAAACCAAGTTTTTCTGCAACCCACTCAACCAATCATATTCTTGCAGAGAAGGAGGAGCATTAAAAACTATTATTGTCTGAAGAAGACTCTTATAATTTAAACTCTATAACCCGTTCTCCAGAAAATATTCAAAACCAAAATCACTAGCAAGTAACAGCTTATTTGAGTAATCTGTGATGTCTGGAACAAAGATTAATAGAATGAACACAACCTTTCTTAAAAATAAGCACTTAAAAATTTAAAATTTACCTCAAAAATTGCATTTAGTCTTGCAGAGTTAGTGAATTTGATTTCATTTGACAGATACTATTATTTCATTTTCAGGAAATGTTTCATGTTTTCCACACTCCACCTGTGAGAACAAGAAGATAGGGAAATCAGAAGAGAAAGGGAAGGAGGCCAAAATTTGGAAAGAACTG
The DNA here is from genome assembly GCF_000001405.40 of Homo sapiens. Taxonomy (NCBI): domain Eukaryota; kingdom Metazoa; phylum Chordata; class Mammalia; order Primates; family Hominidae; genus Homo; species Homo sapiens. Next base: position 61,365,430 of record NC_000016.10, on the reverse strand, counting down.
TAGATAGGAGTTCCAAATCCTGTTATTCTAGCATTATTTAAAATCACTATTCTTCTTAAACATAATACATATACTAGACTACATACTCCTGAAAATATAACAGATAGCTGTGGAATGCTTTATAAGGCACACCTACAAAAGTAATGTGCTCTGTAATGACGATAGAGCTCATAGCCATCAGTCATGTGGCGTGTTCAGGAAGGACAGCCAAGCTTTAATTAGCTTATGCTAAACGGCTTTAGTATCAATTTAGGCAAAATGTGACACTTGGTGGAATTGTTTGGATGGCCACTAGGAATAATGACTCACAGAGCAGAATCACCAAGAGAAAAGTGTGTAATCAACAGACACTAATTCTGATAGGAATCAGGAAACCATCTGGAAACAGGAAAGAGGAAAAAAAAGAAATACTTTGAAAGTACAGAGGTAACCATTTGCTATTGCTTGAATGTGAGCAAATTAAAGACAACCAACCTCTCTTATGAAGGAAAATTATTATCACTGTAATCATGCACACAAAAAGATTCATCATATTTCTAAGAAATGTGATTGTATGCAGATATACCAGCCTGAGCGCTATAAGAAGTAGTGTTGTATTGTATTCATATTTCCATTTATCATGATTCTTTGGATAATAATATGCCTCCCACTGAGGATAAGGTATGTGCAAAACCTCAGGATTTGCACTCAGAGTGGCTGAAACTCAAATTGTTGTTCCAACACTTGTTTCTAGGAGCATGACCTTGAGTAAGTTACTTTACTTCTCTGTTTTTGTTTTGTTTTGTTTTTGTTTTTGTTTTTTTGTTTTTGAAACAGAGTCTCAATTAGTCGCCCAGGCTGGAGTGCAGTGGCTTGATCTCAGCTCATCAGAACCTCCGCCTGCCAGGCTCGAGTGATTCTCATGCCTCAGCCTCCTGAGTAGCTGAGATTACAGTCATGCACCACTACACCTGGCTAATTTTTGTAATTTTTAGTAAAGACAAAGTTTCACCCTGTTAGCCAGGCTGGTCTTGAACTCCTGAGCTCAAGTGATCTGCCTGCCTCAGCCTCCCAATCTGCTGGGATTACAGGCGTGAGCCACTGGGCCTGGCCTACTTCTCTGGTCTCAGTATGTGCCTTCTCTGATCTTAAAGTATCATATTGTTGAGAATAACAAAGCAGAATACAGTGGCTGGTGCAGTTCTGCTTTAAAAAGTGGTACAGAAACTAAATCAGTGCATGGAAGATTATTGTGTTTATCGATTAAAAAAATATATATGTGAATATGCGTAGCACCCTGAATCAGCCTGCCTAGGCTTCATTTTTTGCTTAGCATTAGCTATGCAAATAGAGTAACTTAGATTATTTTCTGAAGGTGATTCCCCTATCTGGAAAATGGACATATTAGTTGTTACATAAGCATATTAAGAGTTACCTAACTGTGTGTGTTTGTGTGTGTGTGAAGCAATTGATTTATAGGCTATTTTCATTATAAATGTCTCAATATTTTGGAAATTCTATAATAACCCTGAGTTCAAGAAGGATTTTAAATTTGCCTGTGGAGGAGTTCCCGGATGGGGCTGGACCTCTTGAATTAAACCAATGCTTAATAAATAGATTAGATGCTGAGGAAAAAAATGATTAAAATATTTTGTAGTTGTCTTGTAGGACCTGAGTTTACTAGAAAATCCAGTATATCACAGTACAACAATTACAAAGGTTAATAATGACCAAAGTCCTGTGGGGCCACTCAGCAGAAGCCTTTGTAGGTGTCTATAATTGAAGATGAGGTATTTTCAAGGCAAAGGGTAGAATTCAGAAATATGCAAAAGGAAGTGATATGTACCAGGACACAGTGTCATGATGCAACCAGTTTGGGAAATTTGAGAGCTTGGAAAGTGGGGTTTTACCAAGTAGGTGTATCAGAGTGGTACTGAGGCTGAGAATTAGGTTGGAGCAGGTTTTAAGGGGTCTTGTTAAAGAGCTTTCTATGTTCTTATATTCTCTGTAGCTTTCTCTTTATCTGTTGCATGACAGTAAAGGAGAGAGAGAGAGAACATCGAAGACAGAGACAAAGGGAAAGAGATGGAACAAATTAATAATACCTAATTCTTATTTGAATCATCACTGTATTAAGCACATCAGTTTTCTGAATTCAATTTGCAGCAGAACTTCTTATTAGCCATGGGAATGCCAACATACCTCACATACTGTGTGCTCTATTTTACTCACCCCTAACGTGGGTTTAAGAATGCAATTTTATTTTTACATATTCTTTGGATGGTCAAATGAGATAAACCGAGTGCATTACTTTGGCAATACAATATATTGTTTACATGGCCTTTTTTCATATGCTATCATTATTCTACACCTGCTTGGGTATGTTTTGTAATGGCAGACACCAGCCAAAATATCTATCAAATGTTTCCTTTTGCTTGTATGAGGATTTAAAACATGACCACAGAGAATGCCTGCTGAGACAATCAAAATGAATATTTACTTAGGCTAGTAATGATCAATGTCTTCTGAGTAATATGGAAATTGAGTTCAACACACGGAATAAAGCCGAGGCTCCGAAACTAAGCAAAACAGTATTACCTAATGTACTCCCCCACATAATTGCTTGTCTTCTGCTGTGATTTTCACAATAGAGGGATCATTTATGTGCACTTATACATTTTACTGTTGACTGCATGACTGTACAACACATTGGAGAAAAAGGAAGCTGCGGTAATAAGAATTCATCAAACATCCTCAATTGCTCCTTTTCAAAAAAGCCTCTAAGGAAAGTTTCAGCATCAAGACCATTTATGAGCTGTTAGAAACTGTCAAAGACAAAGCCTGGAAACTGGGATGGGGGCTGAGTTCAGCTCTTGCCTCAATTGCCAACCCTTCTGGGACCATAAGCAAGTTATTTTATAAAATCCCAAAGCAGGGAGAAAAGCACAAGGAGAGAAGTGTTATCACCAATCTGTCTCACAAAGGCATTCCAGAACTCCTTTTGCAAAAGGTTACTGTCCTTCTCACTGTAGATAGAAGATAGACTTGGTAGACTCACTTCAAACCTCCCTTTGGGGAACCTGATACTCAATGGAGCTCCCAAACCAAAGTCTTATGAAGATTTTGAGGATGGAATAAAATCATATTAATAATACTAAGCCTGCAGCACAGTTATTTCCTGGTTTTGAAAATACTTTTTCAGGTGAAGCCAGCTATGTATTATTAAATATTACACTAAATGCCATTTGGTAAAGATATCAGTGCGTCTCCTGCTCCTGAACTATTAAATTGTATGTGCCTATAAAGGATGCCTGAAATTCAGTTCTGAGCCATTTCAGGACAGAAAGTTTCAAAACACAGGGCAGTGGAAATTTTACTTCTGTTAATTCTTTGATATGACAAGATTCTTTCATAGTTTGGACCCTAATGAAGGAGTTACTCTCCCTGCCAAATGTCTTGTATTTCACAGATTATTGCTAACAGCACTAGGTGAAATGTTAAAGGACAAACAACTGTAAGAAGGGATGCTTTTCTTTTCATTTTAAGTCTTTGCTCTATCGTCTATCCTATACATGGTATCTTATGAACAAATTAACTCACTAATATAAGGTATTATGCTTATTATTTAGGGAAAATAATCTGTGTGAATTAAAATCATTTTGAAGGTTGGATGATTCTTAGTAATAAAAGTAAATTTAAAATATTGTGCTTTTTTTTCTCAAAGATTACATTTGATAACAACTAAGCTAACAAAATGCATGAAACAGTGGCTTTCAAGACCCTGGGAAGCAAGTGCCAAAGAACAGCGATCTCTAAGAGACATAAAACAAATGAGTTATGCCTTAAGGTCATCCTAGCTTAATGACCAGAGGGTGTCTAGGCTGTGACACAGTAAGATGAAAACCCGGTGAAACCCAGCAGATTCCCTGAGGTCAGGAGATGGAGCTGGGAGTCTCGGGGTGACCAAGATAATTAGAGTACTGAAGAGGAGAGATCTGAAAAGACAGAGAACCCTGGAAAGCAGCAGAGATTCCCACTCAAGAGTTCATCAGAACACTAATCAGAATATGTGTGTGAGGATTTTACTCAAGTCTAAGAAATGTATTCCAAAGTACTGGAAGAAACAGGATGTGGTATACACACAGAGTCAGGAATAGTGCCTGTTCCTACTGGAAATGTGGAAAGCCTTATAATTCACTGGTATTGATAAAGAGACCATGCCTCAGGCCTGGGGATTCCCTTTAGTCCCTCTCAGCAGAGAGAGCAAGAAAATTTGTGTCTATACTAACCCAGGTACACACACACGTTTAAATGTATTTCTTTTTTTTCTTTTTTGAGACAGAGTCTCACTCTGTTGCCCAGGCTTACTATATATTACCATCATTATCTATATTAAGATAACCATGCATCCCTAGGGCCTCATACTCCACTCCTTTACCTCATAGGTCATTCTAACCTTCTCCCTTGCTTTCCTGTGACCTTCCACTCCAACAGTGAGAAAGCTGGCTAGCACCATACAACATCTATTTACCTCATTGTTTAATTCCCCTATACTTATTGAATTTCAGAATTATTAACTCTACCTACATGGGAAAAACCTTTATCAGCTAGAGTAGAATGCTGATGGACAGTCCCTTTTGCCATGAATATGACAATTTCACCAACTTTCAAACTTATTTAGGTCAGCACCTTTACTCACAGTAACTTGAGTGAGATTGTTTCATACATTGTAATATACTTAGACAGTTATAACCATCTGCATTTCATCCTGGGATTGCCTGTGTCTTAAATGGCTTCTTAAAATTTGCATTATTTAAAGATTTTCTCTTTATTCTGTAAAGTTCTATGAGTTTTGACAAAGACATAGTGAATATTCACCATTACAGTATCATACAGAATAGTTTCACTGTATTAAAAAAATGCCCCTTGTTTCACCTATTCAACCACCCCTCTCCCTCAGTTTGAACCCCTGGGAACCACTAATCTGTTTGCTGTTTCTATACTATTGCCGTTTGTGGAGGGTCATATAAATCAGCAGTCCCCAGTGTTTTTGGCACTAGGAACCAGTTTTGTGGAAGACAATTTTTCCACGGGCAGAGGGGAGGAACAGAAGGATGGTTTCGGGATGAAACTGCTCCACCTCAGGTCATCAGGCATTAGTGAGATTCTCATAAGGAGCGTGCAAACTGGATCCTTCGCGTGTGCAGTTCACAATAGGGTCCGCGCTCCTATGAGAATCCAGTGCCACCGCGATTCCACAGGAGGCGGAAGTCAGGCAGTAATGCCCGCTTCCCCACCATGCTTGCCACTGGACCAAACTTGCTGTGCAGTCCAGTTCCTAACAGGGATCAGCAGTACCAGTACCAGTACATGACCCAGGGCAGGGGTTTGAGGACCTCTGATATAAGTGGAATGATACAGTATATAGTATTTCTAAACTGGCTTATTTCATATAGAAGTATGTATTTGAAGGTCCTCCATATTTTTTCTTAGCTTAATATCTTACCTTTAAAAAATTACTGAATAGTCTTCCATTATATCCATGTGCTAAAGGTTATTTATCCATCCAGTACTAAAAGATATCTTGATTGCTTCCAGTTTGGTGATTATGAATAAACTACTATTAACATTATATGCAAGTTTTTATGTGGGTGTAAGTTTTCAGCTAAGGTGAGTATATACTTAAGAGAGCAATTGGTGGATTGTAAGGTAATATATGTTTAGCTTTGTAAAAATAATACTGCCAAACTGCCCTCCAACATGGCTGTGCCATTTTTCTATTCACACTGACAATGGAGGAGAGTTCCAGTTGCTCTGCAAGATTTTTCTCGTCTGTTTTTTCTGCAGTTTGAATATGATAGGTCTAGGTGTGAAGTGTATGTGTCTGTGTGTGTGTGTGTGTGTGTGTAAGATTTATTCTGCTCAGTGTTTTCTGATTTTTCTGGATCTCTAATATGGTGTCTGACAATAATTTTTTAAAACCCTTGGCCACTATTACTTGTAAGGTTTTTTTCTCCTGCATTCTCTTTTTCTTCTTCTTCCGTGTTTCCAGAGTTATTGAATGTTCTGTTTTTATTGTTTTCATTTTTTTCTTGTACTTCATTTTAAATATATTTTCATCATTCAGTTTATATGATCCATCTATGCTTACATGTTGTCTGCTTTTGCAATTAAACACATATTATTTATAGTTTATTTTAAATTACTTAGCTGATAATTCTAATATTGTTTTATATCAGAGTCTGGTTCTGAGACGTGTGTTGTAGCTATAAGTGGCAGAAACTTATAAGATTTTTTTTTTTTTTTGCCTTTTGCCCTGTCTTGCAATTTCTATTGTTGCTGTTGAAAAACGAACACATTATATCAGAAAATGAAAACTAAAGTAAATAGGCATTAAATGCAAGAATTTGTTAATCTGGTCATACGTAGCACTTTCTTCTGTAACTATAGGTGGCAGATGCTTCACATGTCTCTAATGGCCTTTTTACTATCTCTTCACTGTGGCCTTCCATAAATACTTCAGTTGAGAAAGATTTTGTGTTTTGTCATTCTATCAGTGGTAGTAATCTCTTGTCCTTATACAGGAGCCAGGCTTGTTGGTATGATGGTAACGTGTGGGACCAGTAGCATTCTATAACCTTCTAGTTAAATTTCAGTCCTGTATTCCTATGACTCAAAGTATAATCTTCAGAAGCAGACTTTTGTTTTTGTTTTTTAGTAGTTTTAGTTGCATGAAAAAACTGATCACAAGGTAGAAAGATTTCTCAAATACCTCCTTTCCCCACACATGCACAGCTTCTCCCATTATCAACATCCTCCAGCACAGTGGTACATTTCTTGAAATTGATGAACCTACAATCAAATGTCATTGTGACCCAAATCCTACAGTTTACATTAGCGATCACTTTTGGTGTTGTACAGTCTATAGGTTTAAACAAATTTATAATGACCACTATAGTATCCTACATGCTAATTTCACTAACCTGAAAAACCTCTATGCTCTGACAATTCATCCCTCCTTTATCCCTGAGAACTCTGACATTTTTACTGTCTTGATAGTTTTGCTTTTTCAAGAATGTCATACATAATGTAGCTTTTTAACATTGCCTTCTTTTGCTTAGTAATATACATTTAAGTTTCCTCCATGTTGTTATATGGCTTGATATTTCATATCTTTTTATAAAATTCCAGTGTCTGGAGGTACCATAGTCTCTTTATCCATTCATCTAATGAAGTAGATATTCTTCATTAGATGAATGGATAAAGAGACTGTGTTACAAACTATGGTACAAAACTCAAACTTGCTTTCAAGTTTTGACTATTGTGAATAAAACTGCTATAAACATCTGAGTGCAGGTTTTGTGTGGGCGTAAATATTCACTTCATTTGGATACATACCAAGAAGCATGATTATTGGATTATAAGGTAAGAATATGTTTTGCTTGATAAAAATTGCCCAATTGTCTTCCAAAGTGGCTATCCCATTTTCTACTACTACCATCAGTGAATGAGAGTTCCTATTGTTCCACTGCTTCACTAGCCTTTGGTGTTTTCAATTCTCTTGACTTTGGCCATTTTAATAGGTATGGACTGGCATGTCATTGTTGCTTTAAATTTCATTTCCCTGATGACATATTATATGGGAGCATCCTTTTATATATTTAACCTCTGTGTATTTCTTTGGTGAGGTGTCTGTTAAGGTCTTTTGCTCATTTTGTGGGAGGGGGATTGTTTCTCTAATTTCAACTTTTATTTAGATTCAGGGGTTATATGTGCAGGTTTGCTACCTGAGTATATGGCATGACGCTGAGGTTTGGGGTATGATTGATCCCATCACCCAGATACTGAGCATAGTACCCAATAGTTCGTTTTTCAACCATCACCAGCCTCCCACGCTCTACCCTCTAGTAGTCCCCAGTTTTTATTGTTGCCATCTTTATATCCTTGAGTACTTAATGTTTAGCTCCTAATTATAAGTGAGAACATGTGGTATTGGATTTTCTGTTTCTGTATTAATTCATTTAGGATAAGCCCTCTAGCTGCATCCAAGTTGCTGCAAAGGATATGATTTTGTTCTTTTTCATGGATATGTATTATTCCAAGGTGTATGTGTACCACATTTTCTTTATCCCAATCACTGTTGATGGGCACCTAGGCTGATTTCATGTCTTTGCTATTGTGAATAGCACTGTGATGAACATACAACTCCATGTGTCTTTCTGATAGAATTATTTATTTTTCTTTGGACATATTCCCAGTAATGAGATTTCTGGGTTGAATGGTATTTCCATTTTAAGTTCTTTGGGAAATCTCCAAACTGCTTTACACAGTGGTTGAACTCATTTTCATTCTTACCAATATTGTATAAGTATTCCCTTTTCTCCACAGCCTCACTAGCATCTGTCATTTTTTGAGTTTTTAATAAAAGCCACTCTGACTGGTGAGATATGGTATCACATTGTTGTTTTGATTTGCATTTCTCTGATGATTAGTGATGTAGAGCATTTCTTTCATGTTTGTTGGCCACTTTGTATGTCTTCTTTTGAGAAGCATCCGTTCATATTCTGTGCCTATTTTTTATGGGGTTATTTGCTTTTGGCTTGTTAAGTTTCTTACAGATTCTAGCTATTAGTTCATTATCAGATGCAAGTTTGCAAATATTTTCTCCCATTCAGTAGTTGTCTATTTAATCTATTGATAGTTTCTTTTCCTGTGCAGATGCCCTTTGGCTTAATTAGGTCTCACTTGTCAAATTACTGTTTATGTTGTTTGCCCTTTAAAAAAAAAAGCTTCATTTAAATTATTGAGTGTTAAGAGTTTTTCGTATATTTTGGGATAATAATCCTTTATCAAATATGTCTTTTGCAAATACTTTTTCTCAGTGTGTGGCTTGTCTTTTTATTCTCCTGACAATGTCTTTCACAGAGCACACAGAAATTTTATTTTTAATGTAACCCCACTTATAATTTCTTTCTATCTTGGATTGTGCTTTTCATGTTGCATCTAAAAATTCGTCACCATATCCAAAGTCATGTAGGTTTTCTTCTATGCTACCTTATTGGAGCTTAATAGTTAGTTTTTTGTTTTTCTGGTTTTTTGTTGTTGTTGTTTATTTGTTTGTTTTGAAATGGAGTCTCGCTCTGTCACCCACGCTGGAGTGCAATGGTGTGATCTCAGCTCACTGCAACCTCTGCCTCAAGGGTTCAAGCCACTCTCCTGCCTCAGACTCCCAAGTAGCTGAGATTACAGGTGTGTGCCACCATGTCTAGCTAATTTTTTTGTATTTTTAGTAGAGACAGGGTTTCACCATGATGATCAGGCTGGTCTCGAACTCCTGACCTCAGATGATCTGCCCGCCTTAGCCTCCCAAAGTGCTGGGATTACAGGTGTGAGCCACTGAGCCCAGCAGTGTTTTACATTTTGATTTGTGATTCATTTGCACATAGCTTTTCTGAAGAGTGTAAGATCTGGGTTGAGCTCTATTTTTTGCATGTGTCCAGTTGTTACAGGGCCAATTGTTAAAAATACTACCTTTTCTCCATTGTATTTCTTTTGCTCCTTTGTCAAACATCAGTTGAATATATTTATATTGGTCTATTTATGGAATATCTATTTTGTTTTATTAATCAACTTGTCTATTATTTTGTCAAGATCATGTTGTCTTGATTATTGTAGCTTTAAAATAAGTCTTAAATTTGGGTAGTGCTAGCCATATATTGTTCTCTAATATTCTGTTTGCTATTCTAAGCCTTTTACCTCTCCCTGTAACATTTAAAATCAGCTAGTGAATATGCACAAAATAACTAGCTTGGACTATGATTGGGATTGCACTGAATCCATAAATTGGGGGAAAATTGACATCTTGACAATATTGAGTCTTCCTATCCATGAACATGTATTATTTCTCCATTTATTTAGTTCTTCAATTTCTTTCAAAATAATTTTGTAGTATTCTTCCCACAGACAGATCTCATACATATTTTGATAGATTTATACCTAAGTATATCATTTTATTGGGTGATAATGTAAATGGTATTGTGCATTTAATTTCAAATTCCTCTTATTTATTGTTGTTATAAAGGAAAGCCATTGATTTTTAATATGAACCTTGTATTGTACATCCTTAAATATTCAGTTTTTAGTTTCAGAATTTTTTGACAATTCTTTTAGATTTTCTACAATCATGTCACCTGTGAACAAAAACAACGACAACAGCTTATTACTTTATTCCAGATCTGTATACAATTTTTCTTCCTTTTTCTTAGTGCATTACATAAGATTTCCACTATAATGTGGAAAAACAACGGTAAAAGAAAATAGCTTTGCTTGTTCCTGATCTTAGTGAAAAAGCTTCCAATTTCTCACCATTAAATCTGATGTTATCTGTAGGTGTTTTGTAGATATTTTTTTATCAAATTGAGGAAGTTATCCTCTATTTGTAGTTTTCATTAGAGACTTTAGCATATTAATTATAGTTGTTTTAAATTCCCAGTCTGATAATTCCAATATTTTTGCCAGATATAAATCTGGTTCTGTTTCTTGCTCTATCTCTTCCAATCATCTTTGATCTTTTAGTAATCCTCGTAATATCTTTTTGACAGCTGGATATGATATACTGAGTAGAAAAAATTCCTCTCTATAGGTCTTAAATAGTATGATGATAAGTTGTCAGGGGAAGGACGCTTCTATAGTTCTATGATTAGGTCTGTTTCTTAGTGAGCCGTACCCCTAGATGGTGAACTTCATGAGTGCGTCTCAGACCTCCTTCTACCTGCTTAGGTGGGACAGGTTGGCTTGAAGGGGCTCTAGTTGGGTACTTCCAACTTTCTCCAGGTCAGATAGGCTCTGATAAAACTGCAGCAGGTTAGGCTCGGGTTAAAGAGTTTCTACTGAGGGTAGACCTTGTTAAGAAGAATGGAACACTGGCATATTTCAAAACTTTTTTTTTTTTTCATCTCCCCTGCCAGAATCACAGGGAGTTTTTTCTCTGATATCCTCTGTGAGAACCTGGTAGAGCTCCAGGAGGTAAACGTCATAAAAGTGTGGGGCCCCCTCATGCCTGGGTCTCCCTGGAGTTTTTTTCTCTCAGACTTCACACTGAGCCCCCAGCAATTTGTCAGTTACAATTTGGGTTTCCCTATCCTGACACAGGTCCCTGTGGAAGTGTCTGTTGATGGATTTTGTCTTTGGTTGAGTTGTAATTCTATTTATTTCCTTCTTTGTCTCTCCAATTTTATAGGCAGCATCATGCTCCTGTGACCTCTTTATTTTTATGATTCTAAGAATAATTATTGATTGTTTTAGTTTGTTCAGATTTGTATGTCAATAGGACAGAGTGGCAACTTCTAAGCTTCTTACGTGCCAGACTGGAAACAAGAAGTACAGATTTCGTCTGTTTGCCTTTTTCCCTACTCACTTTTCTGGCTGCAATGTTTGCAACATAATTTCTTAAAGCCCTGATACCAGCCCTGATTATATTTCTGTGTTAAGTGAGGCAGGAAGGCCAGAGGCATCAGGACATCAGGCTGAAATCCCTTTTCCCACCTGAGACATAGTTCTGGCAAAGTCTTTCGCCTGAAGTGTAAGCCTCTGTTATGAAGAAGGCTGAGTATATTTCACAGAGATTACTTTTCCCATCATGCAGCCAGAGGCCCAAATGAATATATCCTGGTTCTTCACTGTGAGAACTTAGAGTGATTTCTGGAGATAAACTCAGCAAAATTATAAGGGCTCTTCTAAAACTACGACCCCCTTAGGGGTTCTCACTATTGCCCTCGCCCACATTCATTCTCCAGCAATGTGTTAAAATTATCATTTAAATATTCCTAACATGAGATGGCTCCTGTAACTTCTGCTCCAGCTAAGCAGATCACAGTGGCTGAATCTCTCTGCATATCCTGTCCCTCCAGATTTCAGGATGGCAGTTTGTCCTGTGACTTGTTGTCTCATGGGCCCAATAAAAGTCATCAGATTTTAGTTTGTTCAGATAGGAGAATGGGAATGAAGACATCTAAGTGTTGTTGTTTTTTTTTTTTTTTTTTTTTTTTTTTTTTTTTTTTTTTTTTTTTTTTGAGACAGGGTCTCACTCTGTTGCCCAGACTGGAGTGCGGTGGCGTGATCTCGGCTCACTGCAACCTCCACCTCCTGGGTTCAAGTGGTTCTTCTGCCACCTGACTAATTTTTGTATTTTTAGTAGAGACAGGGTTTCTCCATGTTAGGATTGCCTTGTATATTATTCCTTGGACTTTTGGAAGATGCTTGAGACACTGAAGGCATTTGTTTGCCTGTGGTTTATTTATTTATTTTTGCTATTACTATGTCACTTTATTTTTGCCCCATAAGTTACTGGGGTCAGGTGGTATTTGATTACATGAGTAAGTTATTTTGTGATGATTTGTGAGATTTTGGTGCGCCCATCACCTGAGCAGTATACACTGCACCCTATTTGTAGTCTTTTATCCCTCACGCCCCTCCCACTTTCCCCCATAAGTCCCTAAAGCCATTGTATCATTCTTATGCCTTTGCGTCCTCATAGCTTAGCTCCCACATATCAGTGAGAACATATGATGTTTGGTTTTCCATTCCTGAGTTACTTCACTTAGAATAATAGTCTCCAATCTCATCAAGGTCACTGTAAATGCTGTTAATCCATTCATTTTTATGGATGCATAGTATTCCATCATATATATATATTCACATATATATCACAGTTCTATGTATATGTGTGTATATATATATAACAGTTATATATGTGTTATATATGTGTGTGTATGTGTATATATACATACATATATATACATATATATACATATATACACATATATATACACATATATATATATATACACACACACACACATATATATATAAAACAGTTAGTTTGTCCACTCATTGATCGATTGGGAATTGAGTTGGTTCCACGATTTTGCAGTTGTGAATTGTGCTGCTATAAACATGTGTGTGCAAGTATCTTTTTCAAATGACTTCCTTTCCTCTGGGTAGATACCCAGTGCTGGGATTGCTGGATTAAATGGTAGTTCTACTTTCCATTCTTTAAGGAATCTCCACATGTTTTCCACAGGGACTGTACTGGTTTACATTCCCCCAGCAGTGTCCCTGTTCACCACATCCATGCCAACATCTACTGTTTTTTGATTTTTTGATTATGGCCATTCTTGCAGGAGTGTGGTGGTATCACATTGTGGTTTTGATTGGCATTTCCCTGATCATTAGTGATGTCAAGCATTTTTTCATGTGTTTGTTGGTGATCTGTATATCTTCTTTGAAGAATTGCCTAGTCATGTCCTTAGCCCACTTTTTGATGGGATTGTTTGTGGGTTTTTTTTTGTTTTTTTTTTTGAGACGGAGTCTCGCTCTGTCGCCCAGGCCGGACTGCGGACTGCAGTGGCGCAATCTCGGCTCACTGCAAGCTCCGCTTCCCGGGTTCACGCCATTCTCCTGCCTCAGCCTCCCGAGTAGCTGGGACTACAGGCGCCCGCCACTGCGCCCGGCTAATTTTTTGTATTTTTAGTAGAGACGGGGTTTCACCTTGTTAGCCAGGATGGTCTCGATCTCCTGACCTCATGATCCACCCGCCTCGGCCTCCCAAAGTGCTGGGATTACAGGCGTGAGCCACCGCTCCCGGCCATGAGGAGATTATTTAACCCCTCTCTTTCCTCCTCTTCCTTGCAATCTGTCTCTCTTTCTTGTCTCTCTTTTTTTCCTGATTTCACACAGGTAATAATACTGCACTAAGTTGTTTGTTTGTCTTTTTTTTTTTTTTTTTTTTTTTTTTTTAAATTCTGAGTCTGCCTGCTAGGAAAGCACTAAGATTTTAAAGCTTTGGCCCAGTCTGCTCCATCTATAGACACTAATACATAGGAAAAATCCTGAATAAGAATAACGTTAGGGAACTTCAGCCCTGATTAAACATGCAATTTTAAAGCCTCTCACTTGATTTTGGCAATTTAGCTTGCATGTCTTTTTCTGCCATTTTATGAAATTCATATAACATGTAACTCCCTGCTTCAGTTCTGGTATTCTGGTCCATCACTGGTGATCTGTTAGAAATAATGACTTAGTGTTTCTCTAAAGAAGAAATGAAGGAATTTGTCCAAGGCAACAATGAAAGAAAATGATAAAATTCCTAAATATTCAAGTTAATGTAGATAAATGATAGACACTCTAGTTGGTTTAGACAATAATTCAGGTAAATAATAGAATCCTTACTTGGCCTAGAGTACTCCAAAGCTTTTCCTCTTTCCACCACATAAAGTTATCTCTAGCTTTGGAGTATATTTTCAAATTGATTTAAATGAATAATTTAATTTTAATTTTAATGAATAATTTATATTCATTGCTTGCTGCTTTTGATATTTCATAATATTTAAAAATATGGCCCTACCTTAAGCTTCAAAATTTGGAATTTGGGGCTTTGGGGTAAAAATTAATTTATTTAGAAATCTACATAAGAAAGAAGAGATTTTTAAATAATTTGCCTATTAAATTGTAAATCAAATAGTGATTTCATTTAGACATACAATTCTTATTGGTATGACTTCTGGATGTTAGCAAGTTTATGAAATTAGTTCAAAATATATTCTAAAGATGTGTTAAGTTGTAATCTTTTTTTAAAAAATTTGATTAGGTTGTGAAACTCTTAATTAGCAGGATTAAATATACAGAGGGATTTATTAGACATCATTATCAGACGATGTTCTCAAAATATCACAAAGTATTTAAGAAAATACCATGAAGTCTTTTATTACCTACCTCAAAAGAAAAAAGACTAAATTATTTCAAGTCAGTTATATACATATTTTGAAATGCTTAATTTTCATATTAAATTGTAAAACAAAATATGGAATCTAGTATGAAACATAATGTGTTTTAAATCTAAGCTTTAACATTAAAATTTGAAGGGAAATAAAAAATAATACTATCCTCTCTGAAACTCAGGATCCTAAGTTTAGAAATGGGAATTTGATAGTTGCTATTTCAAAAGACAGTGGCAAGAATGAAATTTGATAATATATGTTAAACACTTTAGTGACTTGCACAGAGAAAAGGCACTCTGTTATGTTAATTTAATCATTTGAACATTCATTCATTCATTCTAAAAATACTTGTCATGTCTACCATGAACAGGCACTGCTAGAGACACTGAGGATACTGTTAAGACAGCAGTTAAAATTCTGTTATTAAAGAGCTTCCATTTTAGACAGAAGACAAACCATAATTAATATATAAAAATATATAGTGTATTAGTGATAAGGAATAAGAGGAAAACACACAAAATAGGGAAAGGCAATATTAAATTTGAGGGTAGAAACTAAATAAAATACACAATGACAATTAAATTTAAGTTTTAGATAAATCATCTTTTAAAAGTGTGTGCCTGATGCAATATTTCCCACAGAGTATCATGACATACTAATATATTATTCATTGTTTATCTGAGATTAAAATTTAATTTGGCATCCTTTTTTTATTTCCTAAATCTAGCAACCCTACTAAGAATTAATTTTAAAAAAATTGCAAGGACTCTTTTTTTCTCAGAAGGTAACTGTGATGGTTAATATTGAGTGTCAACTTGATTGGATTGAAGGATATGAAGTACTGTTCTTGGGTGTATCTGTGAGGGTTCTGCCAAAGGAGATTAACATTCGAGTCAGTGGACTGGGAGAGACAGACCCACCCTCAAACTGGGTGGGCACCAACTAATCAGCTGCTAGTGCGACTAGAATAAAGCAGATAAGAGAAGATGGAAGAGCAGACTTGTTGAGTGTTTGGGCCTTCATCTTTCTCCCATGCTGGATGCTTCCTGCCCTAGAACATCAGACTCCAAGTTTTTCAGCTTTTGGACTCTTGGACTTACACCAGTGGTTTGCCAGGGGCTCTCGGGCCTTTGGCCACAGACTGAAGGCTGCACTACTTTTGAGGTTTGGGGACTCTGACTGGCTTCCTCGCTTCTCAGCTTGCAGACAGTCTATTGCGGGACTTCACTTTGTGATCGTGTGAGTCAATTTTCCTAATAAACTCCTTTTCATATATACATATATCCTATTAGTTCTGTCCCTTTAGAGAACCCTGACTCATACAGTAACTTTTGAGTAAGGCACTGAAATAAATGAAGGAGCCAGGCAAGAATATCTTTGGGGAAGAGGACTCTGGAGAAGAGGAGTAAGCAAGCACCAAGGCCCTGAGTTGAGAGGGTGCTGCGCTGGAGCAAGATGACCAGCAGAGCTGGAAGGAACTATGTGAGCAGCTTCCATAGCAGAAAAGGTCATAGATATCAGGGTAGCTGAAGCGATAAGACTTCTTTTGTCAGAGAAAAGATTTTGTCTTTTATTCTAGGTGAGATGAAAAGCCATTAAAGGGTTTTTAGCAGATAAGTGGCACAATATTTTTTATGGTTTATTGGCATTATTCTCACTGCTGTGTTCAGCATGTACAGAGAAAGAAATGGAGAAGCCATGGAAGGAGCTCATAGAATAATTCAGGCAGGCGATGGTGAGTTTGAACCAGATTGATGACAGATGGAGTAATGACAAGTGGTCAAAATCTGGATATACTCTGAAGGAAAATGTGGCAAGATTTGTAATAGACTGGATGGTCAAGGTGAGAGGAAAACATCAGCGTAGAGTGACTCCAAGATTTTTGGTAAGAGCAACTAATACCTATTTCATCTACCTTTTGTTATGTTTAATAGAAACACAATGCTATATGTTATTAGAGAGAGAAAAAAGTATATAATTGTTTTATACTCTTCTCTGATTTTGTTAGAAAGCAGGTATTTTTCTTCATAAGGAAAAAAGCAAGGAAAGAGAGCTGACTTGGAAAGAGTGGAATAATGAGAAAGACATTTTCAAGTATTTGCCACAAAACTCCTTGCAAAAAGGATAGAGTAATTCTCATTTCATGTAAATATATAAACACATACCAGAGGTTGGGAAGGGTATTGTGGTGGGGGGATGAAAAGATGTTTGTTAATGGGTACAAACATACAGTTAGATAAAAGGAATAAGTTATAGTGATCAATAGCACAGTAAGGTGACTATAGTTAACAATAATACATTGTACATTTAAAAATAGCCAAAAGAGAACATTTGAAATATCCCAGCACAAATAAATGATAAGTTCTTGAGGTGATGGATATTCTAAACACCCTGATTTGATTATTACACATTGTATGTATGTATCAAATATCACATGGACCCCTAAGTATGTAAAAATATTATATATTAATTAAAAATAATTTTAAAATGTAAATAGTATTATAGTTCATAATATAATCAAGAGAGAAATAGAGTTAAGTTCAAGTGTTACCACTAAATTTCTTTCTCTTTTTACTTCAACAACAGCTTACTTATATCTTCTTTGAGAAAATTATTTTGTATATGTGGCTAATGTTGCCTTCAAAACACAGGTGACAGCACACATCATCAGAGCTATGTTATTCCCCTGTCCCCAAAATTTTGTTTTATTATGACTAGTCTTTTGCCTTTCAAATCATGAAAGAAATAATTCAAATACTGGTTATATTTCTGAGAAATCTACTGCTTCAGGGAACAAGTAATATAGTGGACCAAACACTAGTTCTGGTGAAATAAATACCAGCCTCGATCACTTACAAGTATTATGGTTTTGGACAAACTTAATGTAGTCGAGTCTCAGAATCTTCATCTATAAAATGGTTATAGTGAATATAATACTGCCCACATTGTAGAGTTCTTTAGGAATAAAGTGATAAAGAGCCTAAATTTTATATCACGAGGGTTGGTATATAAATACATTTTAGTGAATAATAGATTGACTGATTTGTTTTGTCCCTTCACTACATAGAAAAAATATGTAGTAGATATTTTTTATTTTAGACCACTCAACAACTCAAATTTCACTTTGTGTTTGTAAAATTTTAAATATGAATCTCAGTGGAGACAGAGTTCACCTCCCAAAATTAAAGCTGAAAACTCTAGATCCTCATTTCTTCTGGTTTCATTGCAGTTAGAACAGAAGTCTGAAACCTAGACTCAACTGTTCAGTGCCATTTGGCCAGAACTTGAGACAGGATCTAGGAAAGCTGAATGGCAGAAAACGGTTTATGGTGGCACCCAATCTTCAGCAGTGTTGATAAGGCACATTATCATATCAAGTGCCACCACATACCAGGAAGGTATATGATGTGGGCTGAGGTACTAACTATATAATCTTAAGTCTGGGACACATGAGGAAAGTGAAGGATTCAATTATGACTCAAGTGATAGTTTTAAAATTTATTCAGATCTGAATTTGGATCAGGTTTTGGCTTAGGAAAATCTGGTTCTGAAGTAGAGGAGCGATTTTAGGAGACAGCCTTTCCTACAATTTTGAGAACTATCAGTATCATTTAAGGAATTTATTTAGTGCTTGAACCAGCCAAGTCTGTATTTTGCTACTTAGAACTAACAAAACTAAATGAAATTCTTATTGTTTTCAGAAGACATCTGTCTAGAAAACCTTAGGCTTTATATTATACTGAGGAATGTGTTAATATGGCCATAGAATTCCCTCACCAATCTAAATCAACTTTTCTGGACCTAACTCAATAAAATGCTCCCCATTAAAGCTAATAAAGATGGTGACTACTTCTCTTAACTACTATAATGTGAAAATTGTCCTATGGTTTAACTGCATTCTGTTTTGTTAGGTCAGGGAATCAACTTTCTGCTAAAAAGGCAAAATGATTCGCTGATCATTGTTGCAGCCGCCATAAATTATATTATGTGCATATTTAATTAGCATCTTCGAAGGTAGTCTACAATAGAAAAAAATCACCCGTTTGGATGTCAAATTTTGAAAATCCTGATTCCACCACTGTCTCAGGCTGCCAGTTATAAATTAATCCCCCAACAAGCAAGTCAAAAATTATACTGTGCAATAAATCCTGTGGTAAATATGATCATAGACTTCGATTAGAAGAAGATGGAAAGTTTACTTAACCCATACTGGTGTGGAATGGGGACAGAGAGTTGTTCAAAGAAGGTTCTTTTGAGAAGTAGCATGAATAGAATCTTAAAGGATCGTGGGGGAAAAAAGGGATAAGACAGTTCAGGAATAAAAATGTCCTGTTCAAAGATATTAGAAGCTTGAGTGAAAGTGTACACCATAGGGAATTCATATTTTAGTAATATAAAGTTCAGGCAGGAGAGTGGTAAGACATGAATATGACAAGCTGGGCAGGATCTAGATTGTAACAACAAGTAAATGGCATCCTATGGAGTGAGATTCCATCGTGAAGGTAATAAGGAATTAGTGAAGAATTTTTAATTGAATATAGACAGGTTCTTACTTGCACCTCTTAAAGGTCATTCATTGGTATAGTTAGAAATATACTGCCATTGTCCATGAAGGGTATGACGAGGTCCTCAACTACTGAAGTTGAAATTCTACTGGTGAGTAAATCACATTGCCTAGATATTTAAGATAATGATACTTAAGGGTTAAAAGGGGTCATGCTATGCCAATAGTTGAATATGGTTATGAGAAAAATGCAGGACTCAATAGTGGCTCAAGTGATAGCTTCAGAATTCATTTAGATATGAAATTGGACCTGGTTTTGGCTTAGGAAGATCAGGTTCTGAAGTAGAGGGGAGATTTTTTTTTCAATTCCCTTTCTCTGTAATAGCAATGGGTTCATTTTATTAGCAAATGGCAAATAAGTGTAGTTTAAAAGGATCAGTAAAATCTTGTAAGTCTGTTGTGAGAATTAAATGATTACACATAAAAAGTTTGACATAATATTTACAACATAGCTGAGCTTTCTTAAGTACTTTGTATTGACTTCATCCTAGATATTGAAAGGACATATGTTACATTATAGTTCCTTGACAGTTAATATCTTAGACATTCTTTTATAATTTAATAAAAAGATTGACGAATGAGGTTAAACATAGTGACTAATTAGACTGAAAATTCTAAGGCAAGTGGTTATATCTATGTTTTTCACAGTTAAGCACAGTCTTTGGTAGACAGTGAAAAAAAAGCAACATACATAATTGACTGAGAGATGAGTTATTGAAGGAATGAATAAATAGATGAATAAAGCCATAATTAATACACAATCCAGGAAATTGACAGCTTAATTTATTCTTATTGCACGTCCAAGTTTTGTTCTAAAAAATCTTTTATTTTCATTTAACAAACCCGTATATAAGGCCATGGGTATAAATATATTTATGTTGGTATATTTATAGTGGGCACTTCACTTATTTCTGACATTTTTGAGAATTCAATATGTATGATACATAGATAACCATTTACAAAGCTGTGCCTTTGCCCTACTAAAAGCATGCTTTACAAATACAACTATGAGCCTAACTACATAACTGAGAGAAAAAGCTATTCAATTAGTTGGCCCCACGAGGAAAAAGATAAAGAAAGCCAGGAAGGTTGTGCCAGATTGCAGACATGTTTTAACTTTATGCTCAAAGCCATTTATTGCAATCAGTTATTTTGCGAATGGATGTAGAACAAGATAACACGAGGCCATTTATCTGTCTCTTTATTTTATTCTACATCCATTAAAATCAGAGTAGCATCAATACTTAAGGTCCAAGATACAAAATCATTTCCATATTGAATTCACAATTTCCTTGTAAACATCATCAATGTATTTAAACAGGTCTTGAATCACAGTAATGAAAATAAACATCCTTATTTTGTTCCTAATCTTTGTGAAAAAACTTTTAATCTTTCATCATTAAGCATATTAGCTGTGGGTTTTCTATAAAAGCTCTCTATCATATTGAGGAATTTCTCTTATTTTCCTAGATTTATATGTGTTTCTATCATGAAAAGGGTATTGGATTTTGTCAAATGTCTTTTCTTAATCAATTAAGATGATCATATAGTTTTTATTTCTTCATCTACTAATGTGATGTATTACATCTAATTATTTTCTTATGCTGACCTACCCTTGCATTCCGAGGATTAGTCCCAGCTGGCCATGGTATATAAATCTTTTAATTTAAAATTAAATTTGATTTGTAAATATTTTATTGAAGGTGTTTTAGATATATCCATAGAGACTAATAAACTGTAATTTTCCTTTTTTGTAATGTCTTTATCTGGTTTTGGTGTCAAGGTAACACTGGCCTGATAGTATAAATTATAAGGCCTTCCTTCCTCTTCAGTTTTTTGGAAGACTTTGAGAATAATGGTGTTGATTTTTCTTTAAGTGTTTGTAGAATACACCAGTGTAGCCATTTAGATCCAAATATTTCTGTTTTAAGAGGTTTTAATAACTGATTTATCTCTTTACTTGTTATAGGTATTCTGGGATTTTCTATTTCATCTTTGGTCAGTTTAAACAAATTACATGTTTCCAGGAATTTCTGTGATTTCATCTAGGTTATCTAACTTGTTGGTTTGTAGTTGTTCATAATATTCTCTTACAATGAATTTTATTGCTTTAAGGGCATTAGTATTATCACCATTTTAATTTCTGATTTTAGTTATTTGAATCTTCTCCCTTTTTTTTTTACTTTGTTAGCCTAACTAAAGGTTTGTCAAAGTAACTGACCTTTTCAAAGAACTTTTGGTTTCATTGAATTTTTCTGTTGTTTTTCTATCCTCTATTTCATTGCTATCTGCTCTTATCTTCATTATTTCTTACCTTCTGCTAGTTTTCATTTCATATCACTCTTGTTTTTATACCTCTTTAAGATGTAAAGTTGGGTTAATAATTTGAGATCTTTCATTTTTTTTAAAATTTAGGCATTTACAGCTATGCATTACCCTCTGAGCACTGCCTTTGACATGTTTTGATATGTCATGGTTTTATTTTCATATGTATTAAGGTATTTTATAATTTCCCTTGTGATTTCTTCATTTTATTTTATTATTGATGAATATATTTGTACATATTTATGGGGTACATGTAATATTTTGTTACTGCCATAGAATGTGTAATGATGAAGTCAGGGTATTTAGTGTATCCATCACACTGATTATATATTACTTTTATATGTTTGGGGTCCTTATATATTTTAGATATTACTTACATGTCAGGTGAATAGTTTGTAAATATTTTCTTCCATTCAGGAGGTTGTTTCTTCACTCTGTTGAATCTTTCCTTTGCTATACAGAAGCATTTTAGTTTAAAATAATCCCACGTGTCTATTTTTTGTTTAGTTGCCTTTCCTTTCTTGGTCTTAGCCATAAATTATTTGCTTAGACCAATGCCCTGATGTGTTTTTCCTATGTTTTCTTTTAGTAGTTTTACAGTATGGGTCTTACGTTTAAGACCACTATCCACTATCCACTATCTTGAGTGGATATTTTTATATGGGGAGAAATTTGGATATCCTCATTCTTCTGCAGATGGATATCTAATTTTTCCAGCACCATTTATTAGAGAGACTGTCCTTTCCTCAATGGATGTTCTTAGTGACTTTATCAAAAATCAGTTTGCTGTAAATATATGGATTTATTTCTGTGTTCTCTATTTTGTTCCATTGGCCTGTGTGTCTGATTTTATACAAACATCATGCTGTTTTGGCTATTATAGTCTTTTTATATGTCTTGAAGTCAGTGAGTGTGATAGCACCGTACTTGTTCTGTTTGATAAATATTACTTTGACTATTGGGACTTTTCTGTTGTTGTTGCACGCAAATTATAGAATTATTCTTTCTATGCCTGTGAAAAAATACATTGGCATTTTGATAGGCATTGCATTGAATCTACAGA
The DNA here is from genome assembly GCF_000001405.40 of Homo sapiens. NCBI lineage: Eukaryota > Metazoa > Chordata > Mammalia > Primates > Hominidae > Homo > Homo sapiens. The sequence goes on along the minus strand of NC_000016.10, from coordinate 61,342,722 downwards.
TTGCTTTGGGTTATATGGTCATATTAACAATATTAATTCTACCAATTCATGAGCATGAGATGTCTTTCCACTTCTTTGTGTTCTCTTCAATTTCTTTCATCAGAGTTTTGTAATTTTCTTTGCAGAAATCTTTTAACTCCTTGGTTAAATATATTCCTAGGTGGTTTTATGTATATGTGTGGTTGATTTTTGTTTGTTTGTTTGGTAGCTACTGAAAATGAAATTGTCTTCTTGATTTTTTTTGTCAGCAAATTCATTATTGGCACTTATACATGCTACTTATTTTTATGTGTTGTGTTATTTTTGAATGTGTATTCTGCAACTTCACTGAATTTATTTATCAGATCTAAGAATTTCTTGATAAAGAATTTAGAGATATCTTTATATAAGTTCATGTCACCTGCAAAGAGAGACAATTTGAGTTTCATTATTTCAATTTGGATTCCTTTGTTTTTTCTCTTTCTCTTCCTGATGGCTTTGGGTACGACTTCCAATATTTTGTTGAACAGAAGTCTAAGTGAGCACTATTGTCTTGTTCCAGTTCTTAGAGGAAAGGCTTTGAACTCTTCTTCATTTATGATGATGTCAGCTGTGGGTTTGTTTCATATAGCCTTTATTATGTTGAGGTATATTCCATATGTGCCTAGTTTGTTGAGAGTTTTCTCATAAAGGGATGTCAAATTTTATCAAATGTCCTTTCTATGTCTATTCAGATAATCACAAAGTTTCTGTTATTCATTCTGTTAATGTTATGTATTATATTTATTGCTTTACATATGTTGAACCATCTTTGCATCCCTGGGGTACATCCCAACTGATCATGGTATATTACCATTTTATGTGCTGTTGGATTTGATTTGCCAGTATTTTGTTGAAGATTTTGCATCTATGTTCATCAAGGATATTGGCTGTAGTTTTCTTTTTTGGTTGTATCCTTGTCTGGTTTTGGTATCAGAATAATGCTGGTTTGTAAAATGAGGTGTGGAGAATTTCCTCCTATTCAATTGTTTGTAATATTTTGAGGACAATTAGTATAGTTTCTCTTTGTAAGTTGGCTAGGATTAGCAGTAAACCATTCAGTCCCAAACTTTTCTTGAATAGGAGACTTTTTATTACTGATACAATATCATTATTCATTATTAGTCCGTTCAGATTTTATATTTCTTCCTGATTCAATTTTGGTAGGTTGCATGTGTCCAGTTATTCATTTTTCTCTAGGTTTTCCAATTTGTTGCTGTATAGTTATTCATAATAGTCTCTAATGATCTTTTGCATTTCTGTGGTATCTGTTGTGGTATCTCCTTTTTAATTTCTCATTTTATTTTTTGTGGCATTCTCCTTTTTATTCTTGATTAGTTTGTCTAGTGATAAGTTGATTTTGTTTCTCTTTTCAAAAAACCACCAGGAGACAAGGTGGCTGACTAGATGCAGCCAGGAACTCTTAATGAGACAGACTGGAATATTGAGTATACCAGCATACTCTGAACAATGTCATCTGAGAGAACACATTGACAGAGGGTAGAGAGACAACCCAGATGCCAGGACTGAAGGGAGGAAGCTGAGTTTGCTGAGTGTTGGGACACATTCATGGCCCTGAATGGTTCCTAAGGAATTAGTAGCTCTGACCTGTGTAGTCTGTCAGATCCAGGGAGAGCAAGGCTGTCGTTCCTGTGGTACTGGAGTCTAATCTGCACACCCTGATGTCCACCAGTGCCCCCCAGAGTTCCAACCTGGTCATGCCTGCACACAGTGAAGCCTCAGTTATGCTGCCAGAGAACTTTTGCCAGCAGCTACTGCCATGGTGCTTTCACCTGAGGCCTCCATTGCTCCCCTGGAGCACTTTTATTGACAGCTTCCCTCTGAAACATGTTTGCCCATTATGCCCCTGCCACTCCCACCAGAGCACTTATGCCCATAGCTCCCCCTCATCCCCATCATCCACTATGGAATGCTATTGCCAGTGGTCCTGGAGCAACTCAGCCCCTCCAACCAGAGCTCAGCTTCAAGGGACCAGAGGACAAACTTGAGCACCCAGTCCCAGACACCTAGGATTAGAGCATACAGCCAATAAGTATAAAGTTGAGCCTTGGGCCTCTGAAAACACCCAGAAATAAAACCATTCAACTATACCCAACTTGTGCCACCCTCAAACCCTTAGGGGAAATAAAGATTATAAATACAAAAGTTTATGTCTTTTAAAATATAAAACAGTTTAAAAAAGGCGAAGAAGGCCGTTATGTAATGATAAATGGATCAATTCAACAAGAGGATATAACAATTCTAAACATATATGCACACAACACCAGAGCAAGCAGATATATAAAGCAAATATAATTAGGTGTAAAGGGAGAGATAGTAGACTCCAATACAATAATATTGCAGACTTCAACATCCCACTCTTAGCATTAGATTTATCATTAAGACACAAAAATTTTAAACTGCACTTTAAAACAAATGAACCTAAAATATTTACAGAACATTTTATTCAATAGTTACAGAATATACATTCTTCTGATCAATACACAAAACATTCTCCAGGAGAGACTATATGTTAGGACACAAAACAAGTCTCAGCAATTTTTTTAGCTAAAATAATATCAAGTATCTCTCAGACCAAAATGAAATAAAACTATAAATCACTAACAAGAGGAACACAGAAACAATACAAGTACACGAAAATAAAATGACATGGTTCTCAATTACCATTGCATCAAGGAAATATTTAAGATTAAATATTTTAAAAATTGAAAAAAAAATGAAACTGGGGATAAAACAAACCAAAACCTTGGGAATACAGCAAAAATAGTGCTAGAAGGAAAATTGATAACAATAAGTGGCTACATCAAAAAAGTAAAAATATTTCAAATAAACAATCTAATGATGCACCTTAAGGAACTTAAAAAGAAAGAATTGGCTGGGAGCGGTGGCTCACACCTATAATCCCAGCATTTTGGGAGGCCGAGGCAGGCAGATCACAAGGTCAGGAGATTGAGACCATCCTGGCTAACACAGTGAAAACCCATCTCTATAAAAATACAAAAAATTAGCTGGGCATGGTGGCACGTGTCTGTAGTCCCAGCTACTCAGGAGGCTGAGGCAAGAGAATTGCTTGAACCCAGGAGGTGGAGGTTGCAGTGAGCCAAGGTCATGCCACTGCACTCCAGCCTGGGCAACAGAGCAAGACTCTGTCTCAAAAAGAAAAAAAAAAAAAAAAGAAAAGAAAAAGAAAAAAAGGCAAAGGGACCAGATGACAAACTTGAGGACCTGGTCCCAGACACTCAGGCTTAGAGCATACAGCCAATAAGTACAAAGTTGAGCCTTGAGCATACAGCCAATAAGTACAAATTAAAAAGGCAAAGAAATTAACAAAACCCCAAATTAAGAAAGAAATAATAAAGATCAGAGCAAAACTAAACAAAAATACAAAGGATCAACAAATTAAAAGTTGCTTTTTTATCCCCTTGTGTATTTTTTTTCTACTTTTATATTAGGTTCAGGGGTCACAAACAGAGGTTTTCTATATGGGTAAATTGGGTGTCACTCATGCTTGGTGTATGTGTGAGCCCATTACAAAGCTAGTGAGCATAGTACCCAATAGATAGTCTCCCAGCTCACACCCTTCTTCTTCATTTTCTCCTCAAGAATTCCCCAGTGTTTATTGTTCCCATATTTGTGTTTATGTGTATTCATTGTTTAGCTTTAGCTTAGAAGTGAAAATGAGAGATATTAGATTTTCAGTTTCTGCATTAGTTTTCTTAGGATAATGGCCTCCAGCTGCATCCATGCTCCCGCAAAGGGCATGATTTCATCCATTTTTATGACTGTGCATATTCCATGGTATGTATGTAACATAGTTTCTTCATCTCGTCCCTTCTGATGGGCATCTTGGTTGATTCCATGTATTTGCTTTTGTGAATAGTGCTGTAATAAATATACGAGTACATGTGTCATTTTGGTAGAATGATCTATTTTCTTTTGGGTGTATACCCAATAGTGGGATTGCTGAATCAAATGGTAGTCGTGTTTTAAGATTAAGAAATCTTCACATGGCTTTCCACAGTGGCTGAACTAATTTACATTCCCACTGACAGTTGTGACTTTCCTCCACAACCTCACTAGCATCTGTTGTTTTTTGAGTTTTTAGTAATGGCCATTCTGCCTGTTGTGACATGATATCTCATTGTGGTTTTTATTTGCATTTCTCTCATGATTAGTGATGATGAGCATTTTTAATATATTTTTCATCTGTATTCATGTTTTCTTTTGAGAAGTGTCTGTTCATGCTTTCTCCCTTTTTCAAAAATTGAATTAATTGTTTTTTGCTTGCTGATTTAAGTCCCTTATAGATTTTGGATATTAGACCTTTGTTGGATGCATAGTTTGCAAATATTTCCTCCCATTATGTATACTGTCTGTGTTCTGTGTTAATAGTTTCATTTGCTGGGCAGAAGATCCTTTGTTTTCTTATGTCCCACTTGTCAATTTTTTTTTGTTTGTTTTTGCAATTGCTTCTGAGGACTAAGACATAAATTATTTGCCAAGATCAATGTCCAGAATGGCATTTCCTAGGTTTTATTTTAGGGTTTTTATAATTTGAGGTTTTATAATTCATATTTAATTCATTTAAGGTTAATTTTTGTATATAGTGAAAGGTAAGCATCCAGTTTCATTCTTCTGCATATGGTTAGCCAATTATCTCAGTGCCGTTTATTGAATGGGGAGTCATTTTCCCATTGTTTGTTTTTGTCAGCCTTGTTGAAGATCAGATGGTTTTAAGTGTATGGCTTTATTTGTTTCCCAGTCTGTTCCACTGGTCTAGTATCTGGTTTTGTATCAATACCATGCTGTTTTGGTTGCTAAAGCCTTATAGTATAGTTTGAGGTTGAGTAGTGTGATACCTCCAGCTTTGTTTTTTCTGTTTAGGATTGCTCTGGCTATTTGGGCTCTTTTTTGATTCCATGTGAATTTTAGAATAGTTTTTTCTTTCTAATGCTGCAACGAATAGTGTTGGTAGTTTAATAGAAAAGAGTGTTGAACCTGTAAATTGCTTTGGGCAGTATGGACATTTCAATGATATTAATTCTTCCAATTCATAAGTGCAGAATGTTTTTCCACTTATTTATCTTTGATTTTTTTCAGTAGTGCTTTGTACCTCTCCTTGTAGAGATCTTTCACCTCTTTGGTGAAATGCATCCCTAGTTATTTTATTCTGTTTGTGTCTATTGTAAATGGCATTTTGATCTTGATTAGACTCTCAGTCTGGACATTATTGGTGTATAGAAATGTGACTGATTTTTGTACATTGATTTTGTATCCTGAAACCTTACTAAAATTGTTTATTAGTTCTAGCAGTCTTTTGGCAGAATCTGTAGGGTTTTCTATGTATAGAATCACATCATCAGTGAAGATAGATAGTTTTACTTCTTCTTTTCTTATTTAGGTGCCTTTTATTTCTTTCTCCTGATTGATCATTTTGGCTAGGCTTCCATATTACTTATTTATAACAAAAGTAATTTCATAATTTTTAGACTTTACTGTTTCAAAGCATGCATTTTTAAAGATATGTGAAATTAGGAGCAAAATGATTTTGATGAAATCTAACTGTACCAGATATAAATCATCTAAAGAAAAAAACATTTCATTACAGAAGTTTAAACATTAAAAATGTAAGTGTGTGTGTACATGTGTGTAATGTATGTGTGTGTTTGTGTGTAGATAAGGAAAGATCTATTTCCTAAATAATATTGAATTGTCATAAATTATGTAATCATAACCCTTTGCAAATTTATTTCCCTGTTAACAAGTTGCCAGAAATACAGAAATCATTTGAATTTATTAGTAACCTTTAGTTTTCCATAATTAAAATGCTTTCAGATTATGCGATTTTATTTCTGTCCTAGATTCAATGAAGAAATACAAAGAAATATAGTATATGACAGTGATGTTGAAATATTAAATCCTTGTGCTAATACGCTTGCATCATGTAATATTTAGAACATGATAAAATATTATGGTATATTTTGATTTTATTTACTAGTCTCTTTTTCATCCTTGTCATGCTAATTTGACTAGATTGCATGTTTTATGACAATCCATATAGTATGGTAAATTTAATCATGTTTATTACTGAATTAAAAAGAAATAAACCTTGAAGTTAAATTGGCTAAGGGAAATATGCATACTCAAATTGGGACATATATTAAAGGGTTGCTAAATAAAAACCAGTATTAATTTTACTCTAAGTTGGAAGTTTCAGAGAAATTTAATAAATATATTTTCTGATTTATTACTTTATATTTATTGTTAGTACAGAGGTTTAGAGTCAAATAGACCTACCTTCAAATTATACAACACATTTACCTTACAGAGACTAAGTTTTTCTCACTTATAAATTTAAGAAAATACTTCCATCATCAAGGAATTTAAGATTAGTGCATGTTAATGTTTAATTTTATAGTGGTCTTGGTCAATGTGCTAAATAGTATTATTTGGAATTAAAGTGAAAGGCAATTATTCATTTTCAGTCAGAGTGGAAGATGGGGCACTTTTAGTTCAAGTGAAAGATGATAACTCACCTTTCTCAGTAAAAAAAAAAAAAATCAAATAAAACAATCATCAAGCTTGATCTTCAAGGACTTCAATGGAACTCTTTGCCAATGATTCAAAATTGCACGTGGATTTTAAGGACTTAAAATTGTTATAAGTTCTGACCACGTACAAGGACATAAAACAGTCTCAACAAATCTAAAAATCTGATATCATGCATCACATTTTCCAGTGTCTATGCAATATAATTGGAATTTAATTAAAATGTAACAAAATATATAACGTAAAATAGCCACATGGGACTGACGTTAGAAACTTCATACCATAAGGCACACAAAATGCTTAGTAAGATTGTTAACAGTGGACAACATTATATAAGTGGAGGTGATGTGTGTTGTTTCTGAACTTTCCTGGCATTTAAGAGCTGATACTCTGCCCTCCCTTCTGTTCTGGCCTTTCTGTAAGAATTAGCAAAGTTCAGGATGGTGGTACCTCTTTTGGTATAAGTAAAATCCCAAGGACTGAGTAAAGCCTTAGACGACATCAATCATGTAAAAAAAGCAAGGAAAGCAAATCAAAACACCAAACAAACAAACAAACAAAAAACTACTCAGTTAATCTGCTGAGACTTCATAGTGAACATATTCCAGAGTAGCCTACTCTATTCTCTAACACAAATTCTCATGGTGGGGGGGATGGGGCGGGGTGAAGAATTGCAAGAGAGAAGAAAGAAGAATAGACAGAAAATGAAGTAAGGTAGGAAGAAAGGGGAGAGGAAGAAGAGAACTGCTGTAATACTTTTGGAGATAATGCTCTTTAGTCAGAGGTAAGACGCATTGTCAGGGCTTTGCCCATTCCAGATAAAATATACAATCAAGTCTTGTTAATGTCCACTTGTTTCATTTCCAACCACCAAATTTGCAGATGGAATGAATGCATGCAAATTGTCTGCAAAATGCTTCTTTGTCTCTAATCTTTGGCAGAGCCTAATCTTTGGCTCACATTTTATTCAACAGAGGTAAATATTTGCTTATAATCTCTTGGGTTTCTTGACTTGCACCAAAGCACAAAATTTCACTAATCTGCATGAATTTGCACTAGCTTTTATTTTTTATCTGTTTTTTTTTTTTTTTCATTTTTTCCAAGCCATAATTTGGGAACAGGAATTTAATGGCTAAAGATTCAGTAATATTAAAACTTTTCAGAATCTACTACCAAAGAACATTATAAAAATATGATACTGATTCTTTTAGTGGCAGTTTGATAATATGTATTGACACTTTGAAATGAAACTAAAATGCCATGTATATTACATTAATTGAATTTCCCCCAACCACATTCTGAGACTTTGAATTAGACAGGAAACGCTTTTAAATTGTTAACACAAGAGGTACCTCTGAGTCAATCAATGTAAATTTACTTCTTTATATGTTTATTTTTCCCCCAATGCATACTAGTGAACCATATTTATGCTAATTGCTGCACTAAGATAAGCTCGTATTTATGCTTTTTGTCACACAGTCATTGAACAGTGAATACGTATATTCTTCACAGATATATTGCTGTGATGTCAAAATGGGGTCATTACTTGAAGAAACAATAAAATGCGAATTTTAAATACATTTTCTCAAAAGGGCCATGAAATAAAAATTCTTCAGATATTTTCATTGACTATTAAGCATATTAAAACATGCTTTTATTGGAGGAGCATTCATTTATAAGGGAAGTGATATTTATTTCACCTCGGCAATATTGCTAATAATCAAGTCGAGAGTAATTTGGATAGAACAAGCCCTTTAAAGAACATAAGGGGTATACAATGTGGACTATAATGCTGCTGTCATAGTTCCAGGTACAAAATGCTGCAACTTCCCTGAAAATTACAAAACAGCATATTGGAAAAGGAGGTGGTGCTGAGCTCGCAACATATTTCCACATAACCAGGACTTCTACGCAGCTCACAATAGTAACTGGAAATGTCTTGGCATAAAATAAACTCAGTGTTCTTAGTGAGCTTGATATGGAAAATAATTATGGATAGTTGTGTATACTGCTGCTAGATTGAATTCATTTATGTAAGATCTTTCTTACATCCTAATTATAAGCATCCATCTAGTGATTATTTCATGTTATTTTGTTCATGTTAGGTCCATGCAGACAGAAATTTAATACTGGTTTTTGTACCAGAAACTCTCTTCCCCTTGGACATGATACAGAGTAGTTTGAGTTTTCACAATTAAGTTTGTTAGCAGTCACGGTCTTTCCCAGGACAGTATGCTAACTGAGAAGATAAAGGTCATTGTTTATTCATCACTATTGGCTGTACATTTTTGTTTTCCTCAAATTCATACGTTGAAACTGTAACTTTCAGTGGGATGTTAGTAGGCGGTATTAGGAGGGGGAACCTTTGGATAATTAGATTTAGCTGAGGTCAAGAGAATGGAGACACAATGATGGGATTAATCTCCTTACTTAAAAAAAAAAAAAAAAGACAAGCTTTCTCTCTCTCTCTGTCTGTCTCTCTGTCTCTCTCTCTCTTTTTCTAAAGGTCCTCACCAGAAACCAAACTGAGGTACATCTTGACTGTAAACTTCTCAGACTTCAGAGTTTTGAGAAATACATTTCTTTCTTTAAGCCACATAGCTATGATGTTTTTGTTATAGCAGTTCTAACTAAGACATTCATTCATTGATTCATCCACAAAATAGTTAGTGAGTATATCCCATGTTTCAGGCACTGGGCTAGTTGATGTGTATAATAACCGCAGTCTTCAATTTATAAGCAATAGAAATCAACACTGCGACATTCATTTTAAAAAAGGAAAAAAGATCTGAAACATTATGAACATTTCACAGATTAAAATAACAGTACCAGAAAAGATAGGAGCTAGAAAATTAAGTAGGAGAGACTTTTGGGGAATGCAATATCCTAAAATGAGTGTCAGTGGTCTGATCCTCAGAGTGAGACTCTAGCCAACTTGCTTTGGTGCATGTGTGCACTCCCCAGATGCTGAGGCTGCGGGAACAGGGTGAACAGGACACCTGACCAGACTTGTTTAGAATATGGGGAGGAGTAGATCACTAGAGAAGTTTGTATGTTGAATACATACAGACAAGCAATAGAACATTCACTGAAGATTATATGGGGGAAAAGACAGGCATAATCTCTGTTCTCATAAATCATATAGCTCACTAAAAGAAGTCAAAGAGTGCAAAAGCTGCTTGTATTCCTACAGTTCCTCATCAATTTTTCCTTGCTCCCTTACATCTTCACACGTGCACTCTGCAGTACCTTTTTTCTGAGTAACTATTCTTGTTCCTCTTTACTTGACCCAAATGTAATTGTATTCTTTTCTGTCTTTCCTTCATGTGGATTAAGACCAATAGAATCCTTTCACTTTGTCCATGGCTGAAAATATTCTCATTCATTTTCAGACAAATATGATTTTTCCCAAGATGACATGAAATATTCAGTCAATGTGAAAGCGTCATGCAAACTAGCACCAGAGTGGAAACAAGAACTGATATTGTGCAATGACATTATAGAGTTCAAGATCATAAAAGGATCAGGGAACTCAGTAATACTGTTATGTGGATCCTGCCTGCACGTGTGTGTGTATGAAAAGCTATGCAATTGTTTTAAAATGTAGTGGGACTCTTAGAATATTTCACACCTGGAGGAGATCCCTTTTAATCACACCTTCTTTTATATGACAAAGTTATTTGCACACATATTTATGAAATAAATAATTGCCAGATAGAACACATAAATAAAACATACATAAAATGAATAAAATGTAGAAATGAGTATTACAGCACAGGAAAGAAGAGTCATGCATTAATGCCCTTTAATAACATTAACATTTTCTAAACAAGGTATACAAATATGCATATATGTCTATTACAGAAATAATACTACTTTTCTTATTTTCTAGTGTTAATTTTTGCAAATTTATCTTTTTTTTTTTTTTTTTTTTTGAGGCAGCCTAGGCTGGAGTGCAGTGGTGTGATCATGGCTCACTGTAACCTCAATCTCCAGGGCTCAAGCGATCCTCCCACCTCAACCTCCCGAGTAGCTGGGACTGGGACTACAGGCATGAGCCACCATGCCTGGCTAATTTTTGTATTTTTTTTTTTTAGAAAGATGGAGTTTCACCATGTTGCCCAGGCTGTTCTTAAACTCCTGGGGTCAAGCAATCCACCTGCTTCAGCCTCCCAAAGTGCTGGATTACAGGTATGAGCCACCGCACCTGGCATGCCAAAATTATCCTTTTAAAATATCTGTTTAATAGATGTTAAATTTGTTAAGCTATGTTAATTCATCAAGAACACTTTCCATTTCATCATAAACCGCAAAAATTGCAGTACTATCCATGACTTTTTCTTACAGAGTTGATTCTTGTTACTTTCAAATATCTTTCCAGTTGGACATTTCTACTAAAATATCTTCGTAAATTTCATCATGGATTTCAATTTTATTTGGTAAGAATTTTCAAATCTTTTCTTCTTTTCAAAAAATCATAGAAAATGGTTTCATGATAGTGAACACAGACATTATTTGATCAGTGGCTTTTGAAAAACTCTTGTTCTTGGGGAAAATAATCAAGGCTTTCAAACACTGCCCCTTTGATTTTTTTTCTAGCAATTTTAAACCACTATTTTTCATTAGTTCTCCCAGCTTTTTTTAAAATATTTTGATTATTTTTCTCTTTATAGATATTTATTGTCTTACATTTTATTTTGGCATAATTAATGGCCTTCTAAATACTTTATTTCAGCTGAATTTAAACAAAAATTGTAAAGCTCCTGGTTATCACTGTGTGTATATATGCATATGTGTGTGCGTGTGAGATATATGTGTGTGTGTATCTGTGTGTGTGTGTGTGTGTGTGTGTGTATGCATGTATGTGTGTATATGCATATATATAAAATTTAAGACTGGTACCAGCTCTTTGCACATAACTTTATGTTGAGTTATTCTCATTTAAACTTTATACCAGAATAAAACAGCTCAGAAAAGATCAGTTTATGTTGACTTGATTTCTTAAAAGCAGGAATATATAAAGGTTGAAGACATGAATTGCACATAAAAGGAGCTCTAAGAATTCTAAACCTTTAAAACTTACCCTGAAAACAAATATATGCAGTGAAATCCAGTGTGTATAGGGTCAACTAAATGATCTGTATTTTTCCAAAGTAATTTATTTGTAGCATACAATATTTATTTTAAAAGCTAAAAGTTGTTCTAATTGTGTATCTATGTATGTAGGTAGACAGACATCTGCCTCTGTATCTATATATAAATTTAAACTCAACTGAAACTACAGCACTTATTCAGTAAGAAACCAACAATATATTACTTTTTGGAAGAATTTTTATCAAATGGTCCATAAAAATAAGGTTTTAATTGAAATCATATAGGAGAAACTTAGTCAAGAAAAAAAATGCTTAACCTAAATTAATGATATGTTTCCTTCCCACTGATAACAAGACCTGTTTATACAAATGCATTTCTCTTTCCTCTTTTGCTACTAGGAATCTCAAGGTAAATTATGAGATCATAATGGGTTACATATCTTTGCTATAGTCCCAAAATATGACTTCTTATTATAAATGGTATATTTCATAATTATTGAACATCTAGTATTTTGAGTTTCATAAGAAGAAATAAAATAACTGTGCATTTAATAAATAAACTCCATTATTTATGTGATGAATTTCACTTAAACTAAAACTTAACCATACATCAAAGGAAAACTGGATATGATATATCAACTTAAGTTATTTTAAATAACTTACAAGACACATTGAAAACAAGTAACAAATGTTAATCCTTTGTGATCATTATTTTAAATGTAAATAGATTAGACTCCCTAGTCAAAAGACTAGAGTGGCTGAATTCTGAATGGATTAAAAGAAAGAAAAAGAAAGATTCGATTTTAAACTTTGTAAAGGAAACTCACTTTAGATTTAAGATCACTTACAGGCTGAAAGTGAATGGATGGAAAAACACATTCTGTGCAAGTTGTAACCAAAAGAGAGCAGAGATGACTTTACTTATATGAGACAAAATAAACTTTGAAAAACACTGTCAAAAAAGACAAAGTAGGTCACTATGTAATGATAAAACAGTCAATTGTTCAGGAAGATATATCAATTATACTCATACACATACAAGCATGCACCCAACATCAGAACATCTAAATACAAAGCAAAAATTTATAGAACTAAAGGAAGAAATAGGCAGCAATACAATAATAATAGGAGTCTTTAATTTCCACTCTTAATAATGGATAGAATATCCAGACATAACATCAATAAGGAAACAGTGAACCTGAAGAAAATTATAGACCAAATGGACACAACAGACACATACAAAATATACCACCAAACAGCAGAATACCCATTTTTCTCAAATCCATGTAGAAAATTATCCACAGTAGATAACATATTTGGTCACAGAACACATCTTAACAAATTTAAGAACTTTAAATAATACCAAATATTTCTTCTCAACACAATGAACTGTAACTAGAAATAAAAGAAAACCTCACAAGTCTGTAGGAATTAAACAATATATTCTTGAACAATAAATGGATCAAAGAAGAAATCAAATAGGCTAACTTTACACCTCAAGAAACTAGGAAAAGGAAGAATAAATTAAGACCAAACTTAGCAGAAGGAGGGAAATAAAAAAGATTATGTTAGCAATCAACACAATAAAAAAAGAAGAGCAATAGAAAAAATAAACAAAGCTAAAAGTTGCTTTTTGGAAAGATAAAATTAATAAATTTTACCACACTAATGAAGAAAAAAGAGGAAAAATTAGATATGAAAAGAAATATATTACAATTAATATATCAAAAATGAAAAGATTTTCAGATACTGTGGATAAATTCCTGGAAACATGCAACCTACTAAGACTGAATTATGAAGAAAGAGAAAATCTGAACAGACCAATAACAAGTAAAGAGATTGAATCTGTAATCCAATATCCCCAAAAATAAATATCCAGGACCAGATGGCTTCATTGGTGAATTCTGCCAACAATTAATACCAATCCTTCTCAAACTGTTCAAAAAATTTGAAGTGGAGTGAACACTACTGAACTCATTTTTTGAGGCCAGATTTTTCTAATACCAAAGCAAGGCAAAGACACAACAAGAAAATAAAACTATAGACCAACAGCTTTGACGAACGTAGATTAAATAGTCCTCAACAAAATACCAGCAAACCAACTTCAACAGCATAGTAAAGGATCACGCAGTATGATCAAATGGGATTTATGTCTGAGATGCAAGGATGTTTCAGCATACCTAATTCAGTTAATATGATATACCACATTAATAGAATAAAATATAAAAATCATGTGATCATCTCAATAGATGCATAAAAAATATTAACAAAATTTAACACCCTTCATGATAAAAATTCTCAAAAACTAAGTATCGGATGCCAAGAATACACAATGAAGAAAAGATGGTGTCTTCAATAAATGGTGTTGGAAAAACTTTTATATGCATAAAAGAATGAAATTAGATCTTTATCATGCACCATACACAAAAATCAATGGAAAGTAGATTAAAGACTTAAAAATAATACCTAAAACTATAGAACTCCTGGAATAAAAAAATAAGGAAAAGCTTTATGACATTTGTCTTGGCAATGAATTTTTGTAATGACACCAGAAACACAAGCAACAAAAGCAAAAATAGACAAGTGGAACTATATGAAACTAAAAAGCTTCTGCAGAGCAAAGGAAAAATCAACAGAATGAAAAGACAACCTAGGGAATGGAAGAAAATATTTCAAAATCATACATGTGATAAGGGGTTAATATCCAAATATATAAGAAACACTTACAATTCAATAGCATAGAAACAACCCAATTTAAAATGAGCAAATGATTTGAGTGGACAGTTCTTCACTGAAGACACACAAATGGCAAATGGGTATATGAAAAGATGCTCAATAATAATCAAGGAAATGCAAGTGGAAACCACAATGAGGAACCATCTCACACCTGTTAGTATAGTGATTACCAAAATGAAAATAATAATAATAATAACAAGTGTTGTTGAGGATGTGGAAAAACTGGAACAACTGTAAACTCTTGATGGAAGTGTAAAATGGTGCAGCTGCTATGGAGAAGAGTAACGGTGTGGAAGTTCCTTACAAAATTAAAAATAGAATTACCTTATGAACCAGAAGTTCCACTTGTTGGTATGTATCAAAAAAATGGAATTCAGGATCTCAAAGAGGTATCTATACTCTTATGTTTATTGCAGCAGTATTTACAAGATATAGAGAACATCTATGTCCATTGATGGATGAATGAATGAAGAAAATGCAGTCTATAAATACAATGGAATGCTCTTCAGTCTTAGAGGAAAATCCCATCATATGGGGCAACATGGTGAACCTGGAAGACATTGTGCTAAGCAAGCCACAGGACAAATACTTCATGATTCCCCTTATGTGAGGTATCTAAAATAATCAAACTCGGAGAAACAGAGAATAGAATAGAAGTTGCCCAGGGCTGGGGCAGGAGGAGTTACTGTTCAATAGGAATAAAGTTTTAGTTATGCAAAGATGAATATGTTATCAAGATTTACTTGTGCACAGCATATAACATTGTGCCTATAGTTAACAGTACTGTGTTATATACTTAAAAATGTATTAATGGGGTAGATATCAAGTTAATTTTTCTTAAATAATTATACTAATGAAAATAATAATAAGTAAGCCAGAAAGAGAGATCTGTACTCGAAGGTATGTATATTGACCTGGTGCCTAGAAGTGTAAAAGACCAGGTAGTAAGTATCTCAAAAATTTCCGAAGAACAGAAACCTGTGATCCACTCAATGACTTAAAAGCACTGAATCTGGCTATGTCTTAGTTTATTTGAACAGCTGTGCAAAACTGGGGGGAAATCTTGTGTTTGGGAGAGTCTGAGAAATAATATATCTCTAAAAGTACTTTGATTCCAGATCCAGGAATCAAACTAAGGAATATTTTTGTCATTTCAAATGTGCAAAGGGAAACATGATAGATATGAAAAGGAGTGAAAAAGAATAGCTCTATCAGGACAGGCCAAAATGCAAAGGCAACACATTAAGCTGAAAATTGAAAAGAAAAAGAACAATGAAATGGTGTGGGAAAGGAGACAAGGAATATAAAAAGTCCTTCAAAGAAACAAAAATTAAATAGATAATGATAGAAACTATCACATAATCAATACACTAATCAGGAATCATAAAGGATAAAATATATAATGGAGAGAATCTTTTCCAAAATAAATGTAAGAAAATCATCAGGTGAGACTAAATTATGTCCGTTAGGTTAAAGAATAGAAAACCAATACAAAGGTAATTGTTTTTTCAGAAACAAAACCTGGACGGCGATGGAGGTTGGGGTCAGAAACAATAAAAGGAAACTTTCCAAAACTTTTATAATCTTAAAGTAGATATCTCTAAAGGTTTTACAATACTTCCGTCAAAATTAATGAATAAAGATCTTGTGACTTATTCTGACCACATATTAGAAAATACAAAAATATTGCATTACCTGAGAATCAAATTGGAAAAAGGGAGCACCATTACACTCTCTGCTTCACAAAATTATAAAAGGTAATGAGGAAATGTCTTAGGAGTAACTTTTCTCCTAAAATATCATTTTTTCAATATAAAAAAGTGAAAAGTAAAACTGATATTAACAAAAACACACATTCTACAGAATTTAAAGAAAAAATAATTAGGCAAGAATTGTATTCAGAAACAAGTTATATTTCAAAAGAAAGAAGAAAATTATTATCTAACATGTAGCACTTTATATTTGAAAGGTGTGCTCTAAAAAAGAAAACTTGAAGATATTCTCTAATTCACCCAAAATTAAAAGCCTTTAGTTATTAAAAGTGAGGAATTATGATATGTTAAGTTTAACTGATTTATGTTGGCAGATTTCTTTTAGAAAATGACAGTTAATTTGTCTTTAAGAGATAATGTAATGAAAAAACAATTGAATATAATCTTGGATTTTACATTTTAGACGACCAATAAGGAAGCCTAAGAAATTATTAGAAAAAAGGGGAAATAAATTTTTATTTTAAAAAGAGTAGACTTAGCTGGACATAGTAGCATGTGCCTGTAGTACCAGCTACTTGGGAGGTTGAAGCGGGAGGATTGCTTGAGCCCAGGAGTTTAGAGCGAGATCATGTCTCTAAAAAGTAAAAAGAAAAAAATTTAAAAGAGGGACTCCAAATCTCTGTTGTTCAGTTGATACATATATTCCCCTTAACCACTGGCTCCCTAGCTCTCACTAGTAAAATGCCTACCAATTTTTCATTACCCCCATTAAATTCTACATTCCATAAGGACAAAGACCAAAGTGTTTATTGGCCACCTTTGTACCTAAAGCATCTTCCACAATTCCTTTTTTTTTTTTTTGAGATGGAGTCTCGCTTACTGTAACCTTTGTGTCTGGGGTTCAAGTCTCCTGCCTCAGCCTCCCGAGTAGGTGGGACTACAGGCATGAGCCACCATGCCCAGCTAATTTTTATATTTTTAGTAGAAACGAGGTTTCACCATGTTGGCCAGTATGGTCTTGATCTCCTGACCTCGTGATCCACCCACCTCAGCCTGCCAAAGAATGCTGGAATTACAGGCATCAGCCACCACGCCTGGGCCACAATTATTGACACTTAATACTGAGGGAGAGAGAAAAAAATTACATAAAACCATGCCCACACACATATGCCTCAGAAAATCCCATTTCATTGAGCATCCAGTGAATAGCTTACTTTACTAATTTTTCATTGCTTTCTAAATTTGGAGAATCAATTTTTTATATCAAATGTGGGGATTGGCAAGTGGAATAGTTACCAGTGGCCAATTGTTTTGTTTTGTTTTTTTGAGACAGGCTCTTACCGTGTCACCCAGGTTAGAGTACAGTGGTGCAATCATGAGGCTTTCTACAGCCTCTACCTCTTGGGCTCAAGCAATCCTCCCACCTCAGTCTCTGGGGTAGCTGGGATTACAGGCATGCACCACCACACCTGGGTGATTTTTGGATTTTTAGTAGAGATTGGGTTTTGCCATGTTACCCAGGCTGGTCTTCAACTCCTGGGTTGAAGTTTTCCCCCAACTCAGCCTCCCAAAGGGCTGGGATTATAGGCCTGAGCCACTGTGCCTTGCTGGTGGTGGACCTTTTAAGTGGTATTTCTGCCATAACTAAAACAGT
Source organism: Homo sapiens (assembly GCF_000001405.40). Taxonomy (NCBI): domain Eukaryota; kingdom Metazoa; phylum Chordata; class Mammalia; order Primates; family Hominidae; genus Homo; species Homo sapiens. The sequence continues at coordinate 61,324,939 of NC_000016.10, read as the reverse complement.
GAGTTGAGGGTTGGAAGATTATTGTCGGGCTCTAGGTTCAATGTCATCGCATCAGGACAACACTAGCCCTCACCACCTCTATCATTGAGGGACAGCAGGCCACCAAGTAACAAGTGGAAGTATAAGTTAAAGCACTTTGGGAAGACCACAACAATCTGTGGAGCCTGTAATACTGGCTATAGGAAACTTCCTTTTGTTTGCCTTACTGAGACAAATAGAAAATATTATGGCCTGAATATTAAATTTTAAAAATATATGGTTTTGTGTAAATGGTTTACAAAACTGATCTTCTTTAACATGAAAAATTGACCCTGAATTAAAATGTTTCTAGTCCTGTTCTCTTGAAAACCTAATGAAGATACAATATTAGCTGTGTTTCCAGGCCAGGTTTCTAAAAACGTTCCATGATGGAGAGTTCTTATCTTGACTCGGAGGACTGTGAATTAACTATAAATACTTAGAGGATTTATTCTCCCTAGAGTGAAGTTACTCTTGTGACTGCATGTGCTCTTTTTTAGGATCCATTCGGGTGATGCACATACAACTATTATAACAAACTCATCTTCTATGTGAAACATGGAATTTCTAAGCCAGTAACTCTTGCTTCTATTAATGTGACTGATCCCCTTTCATCTGTGCTGTTACTTGGCAGGGGGCAAAGAGAACAGTCCCTGGAAAATGGCTTGAACTCCTGAGGACAATCATTGAAGAGGCTCCCGTCATAGTAACCTGCTGAGAGGGCACTCATTGCTGTCGTGCTGTGTTTCTGTCCTCGTGCCCTAATGAATGAAGCTATTGCCAAAAGTGGCTTATTTGGGTCTTGTGAATTTGTTTGTCTAGTTGAGCCTACAGTCACCTGGAGTGAATCTTGCAGAGAATAATCAGCAGTTGGCTAGAGTTCTAGACAAAATAGATTGGGATGTTTACGATGTTAAGATGGGAGCTGATCCATCTCAATTTGATGGTAAAATTCTGCAGCATGTGATAAGAGATATGTCTTCTCATTTTGAATATTGAGTAAGGACGTAAGTGTGGCAAGTTTGTGCTGAGAAGAAATACTGCCCACTGTACTCACTGAGACTGGCCTGACCCCTAATTCAGCTATTGTTTGGCAAGAAGATGTGACACTGCCATTGGATTGATGCAATCTTAAGCCAAATACCATTTGCAGAGATTACAGTAGATACAGGTCAAACCATGCACTGACGCCTCGACAAGGGCCCAACGCAGACACTCAAATTCACAGATCTCTTGTGAAAGGAGTTATAGCCAGCTTGCTTTAGGCAGACAGTAAGGGAAGAGTCCCTGGAGAACCTCTGACTCATGTTTTGTGCAGATAAGGGAACTTGCACGGGGGGCTTGCCTAAACATGCCCTCAGCGGACAAAGGGCCTAATGTGCACTGAGGGAACGGGGTCAAATCACCAGAAATCTGTGTTTTATACAATTAGGGGACTTACCCACATCAGCTTATATATAAAAACCCTTGTATTCAACTGTTAAGGGGACAACCAACAACCTGCTTTTTAGGAGCCCTCTCTTTGCTGAAAGCATTTTTTTTTTTTTTTTTTTTTTTTTTGCCTAATAAATTCTATTCCATTCACTATACGGTGTCCACTTGCCTAATTTTTCCTGGTGATGAAACAAGAACCCAGACTTTAGCTAAAGGAGCAAAAATCCTGCATCACTTGTTTGTGACTAAAACTGTAGTCAGTTAAATGGGCTGGAACTGTCATGTTGGTATTGGCTGTTGTTCCACTTGGGCTTCATTCTGTACTAAGATGTACCTTTGGACCCTACAGCACTCAAAAAGCTGGAGATGAGTGAGAGGAAGCAAGAAAAATATTATGTGCTGAGGCATTATTCCAGAAAGGCTATCAGCAGACTGACATCCAAAGGGCATTTGATGACATTGGCAGGACCTTGCCAAAACTCTGATATTTCAAAGATACACCTTTGTGGAATGTCTCAGTCCCCATGTGTGTGGTGTACTCTGACCATGTCCTGAGGAGTCTCTGAAGGATGGCAGTAATAGCAATGTGAAAGCATTTCTGCAGCTAGCTACAAGATGGTACCTGCAGATAAATCTTTTTTTTTTTTTTTTTTTTTTTTTTTTTTTTTTTTTTTGAGACGGAGTCTCGCTCTGTCGCCCAGGCTGGAGTGCAGTGGCGGGATCTCGGCTCACTGCAAGCTCCGCCTCCCGGGTTCACGCCATTCTCCTGCCTCAGCCTCCCAAGTAGCTGGGACTACAGGCGCCCGCCACTACGCCCGGCTAATTTTTTGTATTTTTAGTAGAGACGGGGTTTCACCGTTTTAGCCGGGATGGTCTCGATCTCCTGACCTCGTGATCCGCCCGCCTCGGCCTCCCAAAGTGCTGGGACTACAGGCGTGAGCCACCGCGCCCGGCCACCTACAGATAAATCTTAAGCCATAGTTTTGTACACCGATTTAACTACACACCCACTGCCAATGTTGGGACTGCAATTTCAGTTTGACATGCCAAATCAGAAGAATAACACTGTTCTTTGTTGTCATAGGTGTATAACTGTGCCTTCAGATTTGATGAAACCCTAGATTTACCTATGCTACCCCTGAAAGAACACTTATGCTAAAAGAAATAAAATATTTACTGATCTCTGCTTGTTGTCATTTAATGCTATTTGATGTAAATTTGCCTTATGATCATCAGGACAATCAAACATTGTGAGACCTATAAAACTATTTGTTCTTTCCCAAAATAGTTCAACTAATTAGGGAATGAGGAGGATTCTAATACCCTTTAGATACTTGTGGTTCAAATCCTCATGGTCAAATGTCTATTGACTTGCTTTTTCTATGGCAAAAGTATTAGCACTTGGAGGTGGACTTTGAGTAAGGGGCCAAAGTTTTTCCCTTTTTTATTGCACAGTTGATCTTGGGTCAAGATTCTGGCTGTATTCTCCTGGAAGACCTGTAATCCTAAAATGTCAGCTGCCTTCCTGTGTGCCTGTTCCTTAATTTTAAAGTCATCCTGAGACTGGTAGAAGGCATCTCATCCAAGGAAACTACGAATGAACTGCAACTACTTTCTGGGAAACCAGAGCTTTGTCAGAATCTTTCCTAACTTGGGATTCTTTGGATATGAAGTTTCTAAGCCAAGATGGCTCCAACAAATGTGACCTCATGCCCTCATACCTGAGAAGAAACTTGGATAGAGACACAAAGAATAGTTTTTGGGTCACTGGATGAATTTCTTTGAAGACTTCTGTTGAATAAGCATATTTAATGCTGTCCTGGCATGCTCTGTTGTTTTCTCTCCTTTTATCTGTCAATGCCAAATAGGGCTACTTAATTCTTGTGAATTTAAGTATCTAGCTGAGCCAAAATCCTCAAGAGTAGACTTTACAATATTTAAATATGTTAGGTATGATACTGACATTACTGTTCTATAAAAATAGTATTTTACAATTTTTATTATAGACATATGTTTATATATTTTTATGTCATATAATGACGTACATAGAGATAGAGAGGTAGAGAGATACACTGATGTTAAGTGGAAGTCTAATGCCATGATGCTCAAGGTACATTTTCAAATATTTAAAGGAACTTACAAAAAATATTTTAAAAAAGAATAATTTAAGAAAATGGATTAATACCTGTATAATTATCAAAACTGAGTAGTGGCTAAGTAAATCTTTTTGTACAGTTACCTCCGTTAATGTAAATTTATTTTTTTCAAAACTAAAATAAAATTTAATTTTTTAAGTAATTAATTTGATCTTGGTTATTTTAAGTGTCAGTGGACAGGTTTTTTTTTTTAGCCTTAGAAAATTCATAGAAAAAGTTCGCTTATACAGTCTGAAGGAATAAAATAGGTCTTGGACTAAAACACTGGCCTAATCTTTTAACAATTGACATTAGTTGTGAAAGAAGGACTCAGGCTTGCATGTACAGATTTTATGGGCCTGAAGTTACTCACATGACCAGGTAGTAAAAATGGGAGCACATAATTCCTAATGAGAAGTTCAAAGCCCAACAGACTGAAGTATTAAAATGCTCACATGTACATACAACATTATTCTATTCAGGATCAAGTTGTGCAAATCAGGCACATTAAATATATTTGGTAAAACTATGTGTAAGATAACTTTGTCTCTATAAGATGCAAAACAAAATTCATAGTGTAAAATAATCATAAAAAAGAAAATTTGTTCACATATATTTATGGATGTACCCTCTCATTTATTAGTTATTAATTAATAGGCACAGTTTCCAAGATGAGATATCTCACACCCCAGAGTCTGGGTTCAAGCTGTAAATTTTGTTCTTTAAACATAGTTTACTTAAGTACATTTTTTAAAATGTTTAAACCTTTTAAAATTTTTTGAAGAAATACTTCAATAATTTGCAAAAGAATCCTAATTAAGATAACCTAAACTAGCAATAGTTCATTCTAGCTTGATATTTAAAATTCTGTATTTTATTATTCTTCCGTATTAATAATATCATGCACCAATTTAATCTACACACAAAAAATCAGCAGATAAGCAAATGGGATTCCAAATTATTTTAATTTTCAAAGTAACATGCCTCTGGATTTCTACCCACAAAGGGGATTAGACAAATTTAGAAATCTGATTTTAGGCATGTCTTATTAACTTAAACCATTAAAAAATTCATCAGCATGCACTATAGTAAGTATGCATTATTTTAAAAGACTTTTTTAAAAGCACTTACAGGTTCACAGCAAAACATAGAGGTACAGAGATTTCTCATATGCTACCTGCCTCCACACAGGCATAGACTTCCCCCATTATCAACATTCCCCACCAAGGAGGTACAATTGTGACAATTATAAAAGGTGGTACCATTGTTACAATGTATAAACCTACATTGACACAACGTAGTCTATAATTTACTTTGAGTTATTTTTTTGAAAAGGGTCGTTGCTTTATTTTTTGCAAGTGGATGCCCAGTGGTTACAGCACCATTTGTTGAAAAGACTATATTTCCTCCGTTGTACTGCCTTTGCTCCTTTATCAAAGATCAGTTGATAATATTTATGTGGGTCTATTTCTAGGCTATTTTCTTCCATTGATCTATCCATTGTTTATTCTTTCAATACTACATTGTTTTTATTACGGTAACTTAATAGTAAATCTTGAAGTTGAATAGTGTGAGTTCTCCAACTTTGTTCTTCTTCTTCTATGTTGTGTAGGCTAGTCTTAGTCTTTTTCCTCCCTATATAAACTTTAGAATCACTTTGTTGATATCCACAAAATAACTTGCTGGGATTTTGAGTTGGATTGTATGGAATCTATTTAGATTAAGTTGGAAAGAATTGAAATCTTGAAATTTTAAGCCTTCTTATCCATGAATGTGGAATAACTCTCCATTTACTTAGTTCTTTTTTTTTTATTTTTTTCATCAAGTATTGTTATTGTTGGTATTTAAGAAAGTGATTGACTTCACTGGATTAAACTTGTATTCTGCAATCTTGCTACAACCTCTTATTATTTCCAGAAGTTTTTCTTGTCGAGTCTTTCATATTTTCTACATAATCATGACATCAGCAAACAAACACAGTTTTATTTCTTCCTTTACAGTCTGTATTGCTTTTACTACCTTTTATTATTTTATTGCATCTGCTGGGACTTTCAGTACAATGTTTAAAAAGAGTGATTAGAGGCCGGGCACGGTGGCTCAAGCCTGTAATCCCAGCACTTTGGGAGGCCGAGGCAGGCGGATCACAAGGTCAGGAGATCGAGACCAACCTGGCTAACATGGTGAAACCCCGTCTCTACTAAAAATCCAAAAAATTAGCCAGGTGTGGCGGTGTGCACCTGTAGTCCCAGCTACTTGGGAGGCTGAGGTGGGAGAATGGTGTGGACCTGGGAGGCGGAGCTTGCAGTGAGCCGAGATCACGCTACTGCACTCCAGCCTGGGTGACAGAGCGAGACTGTCTCAAAAAAAAAAAAAAAAAAAAAAAGAGTGATTAGAGGGTAGCTCCTTGTTTTGTTCCTAATCTTAGTGGAAAAGTTTCTAGTATACCATCATTAAGTATGTTGTTAACTGTAGGTTTTTTGTAGATAACCATTATCAAGTTGAGGGAATTCTCTTCTATTCCTAGTTTACTGAAAGTTTTCATCATGAATGGGTCTTGGATGTTGGATTTTGTCAAATGCTTTTTCCGCGTGCATTTATGATGATCATGTGTTTTTTTTGTTTTGGGCTGTTCATGTGATGCATTATGTTCATCAGTTTTCAAGTGTTGAGCCAGGTATACATAAGTGGAATAAATCTCATTTGGTCGTGCTGTATAATTATTTTAAATCATTTTTGGATTTGATTTGCTAATATTTTGTGGATACTTTGTGAATCTATGTTCATGTGATAATTTGTCTTTATTTTTCTTTTTCTTTTCTTGTAATGTCTTAGCCTGGTTTTAGATTAATTCCAGCCCCATAGAATGAGTTTAAAAATATTCCCTCTGCTTCTATCCTTTGAATGAGATTATAGACCATTGGTATTTTTTTTTCTTAAAGGGGTGGTAGAATCCACCACTGAACTCATCTGGGCCTGGCGATTTCTGTTTTGGAAGGGTATAATTATTAATTCGATTTCTTTAATAGATGTAAGGCTATTAAGATTGCTTATTTCTACTTGCGTGAGTTTTGACAGATTGTGTCTCTCAAGGCATTGGTTCATTTAATCGAGATTAGCAAATTTGTGGAAATAGAGTTATTCTTAGTATATGGCCCATGAAATATGTAGGGAAGCCCCTCATTTCTGATATTTGTAATTTGTATCCTTGCTTTTTTTCTTAGATTGTCTGAATTATTATTGATTTTATTCTTTTATTGATCTTTGAAAGCACTAGCTTTTGAGTTTTTTAAAAAATTTTCTCAGCCGGGCACAGTGGCTCACGCCTGTAATCCCAGCACTTTGGAAGGCCAAGGCAGGTGGATCACGAGGTCAGGTGATAGAGACCATCCTGGCTAACAGTGAAACCCCGTCTCTACTAAAAATACAAAAAATTAGCCAGGCGTGGTGGCGGGCACCTCTAGTCCCAGCTACTCTAGAGGCTGAAGCAGGAGAATCGCATGAACCTGGGAGGCAGAGCTTGCAGTGAGCCGAGATTGGCCACTGCACACTCCGGCCTGGGCGACAGAACCAGACTCTGTCTAAAAAAAAAAAAAAAAAAAAAAAAAAAAAAAAATTTCTCTTGATTTTGTCTTTCCAATTTCATTGATTTCTGCTCTAATTCTTTTTGGTTTTCTTCTCCTTACAATGCATTGAATTTGCTCTTATTTTTCTAGTTTCCTAGGCAGAAACTTAGATTATTGATTTTAGATTATTCTTCTTCCAATATGTGCATACAGTGCTATGCATTTTGCTCTAAACACCCGACATATTTCATAAGCATCCCACTGCTTGTGTTGCATTTCATTAATTGTGATGTTGGATTTTAATTTTTATTTAGTTTAAATTTTTAAAAATTATTTTGAATTTTTTTCTTTGACACAGTTATTATTTAAAAATGTGTTTCTTAATCTCCACATATTTTGAGATTTTCCAGTTATTTTTCTGTTATTGATTTTTAGTTTAATTCCAATGTGGTCTAAGAACAGACATGGTATGATTTTTATTATTTAAAATTTGTTAAGTGGTGCCTTATGGCCAAGAATGTGGCCTATCTTGGTGAATGTCTCATGTGAACTTGAGAAAAATGTATATTCAGCTCTTGGCTAAAGTAGTCTGATTCCAATTATATTCAGTTGACTGATGGTGTTGCTGAGTTTAACTGTGTCCTTACTGATTTATTGTCTGTTGGATCTGTCCACTTCTGACAGAGGGATATTGAAACCTCCAACAATATTAGATTCATTCACTTCTCCCTCTTCTTTTAGTTTTTGCCTCACATAGTTTGACACTCTTTCATTAGGCACATACACATAAGAGTTGTTATGTTTTCTGAAGAATTGAGCCCTTTATTATTACACCATGTCCTTCTTTATCCCGGATAACTTTCCTTGCTCTGAAGTTAATATAGCTATTGTCACATTTTTTTCATTAGTGTTAGCATGGTATATCTTTCACCGTTTACTTTTTATATATGCGTGTCCTTATATTTAAAGTAGGTTTCTTGTAGAGAACATATAATTGGTTCTTGTTTCTTGATATGCTCTAACAATTTTTGTCTTTCAATTACTGCATTTAGACCACTGACATTTTAAGTGATTATTGATATAATATAATTAATTGCTATTAGGCTGGGTATGGTGGCTCATACCAGTAATCCCAGCAATTTGGGAGGCTGAGGCAAGCAGATCACTGGAGGTCAGGAGTTTGAGACCAGCTGGCCTACATGGTGAAACCACATCTCTACTAAAAATACAAAAATTAGCTGGGTATGATGGCACATACCTGTAATCCCAGCTACTTGGGAGGCTGAGTCAGGAGAATCTCTTGAACCTGGGAGGTAGAGGCTTCAGTGAGCCAAGATTGTGCCACTGCACTCCAGCCCGGGTGACAGATTGAGACTCTGTCTTAAAAAAAAGAATTAATAGCTTAAAAATAATTAATTGCCAGCTATCATATTTGTTACCATTTTCTATTAATTGGCATTGTTCCTTGTTCCTATTTTCAGTTATAGTTCTTTTTTGTATGTATTTTTTACTTTTTCTAGTGGTTGCATTAAAGTCTGCAATATACTACAACTAATCCATGTCCAAACAACACTGTACTTTATGGTTAGTGTGAGTAACTTATAATAACAAAATAATTCTGATATCTCCCTTTGATACCTTATGTCATTGCTGTTATTTCATTTATATACAAACAGATAGGCATCCATGCACATGCACACACGCACACACACACAGACACACACACACAGGCATACATAATAAAATATATTTTAGCTATTATTATTTTGAAAAGAGAGTTATCTGTTGTATCAATTAAGGATAAAAACAAAAAGTTGTTATTTTACCTGCATTTATTCTCCACGGCTCTTCTTTTCCTTATTATATATGCATTTCTAAACTACATTATTTTCCTTCTTTCTAAGGATCTCCTTTTGACATATCTTGTAGATAACATATTCCCTCAGTTTTTATTTGTTAAGACAGGCTTATATTTCTGCATTACTTTTGAAGGATAATTTTACAGGGTACAGAATTCTAGGTTGGTAGTTTTATTCTCTGAACACTACATACTTCACTCCATTCTCTTCTTGCCTGAAAAATTTTCCATGAAGTTGGAGGCAATTGTTACCTTCCTTCTCTATAGGTAACATTTCCTCCACTGCTGGCTTCTTTTAGAATTTTTTCCTTATCTTTGATTTTCTGTAGTTTAAAAATAATATGCCTAGGTATAGTTTTACTTGCTTTTATCTTGCTTTGTGCCCTCTTAGCTTTTTGGGGTTTTGTTTTTTCAGGCTTTCTGTTTGTTTTTGTTTTTGTTTTGTTTTGTTTTGAGACTGGATCTTCTCAGTCTGTTGCTCAGACTGAAGTGCAAGTGGCATGAGTATGGCTCACTGCAGCCTGGAACTCCTAGGCTTACACAATCCTCAATCCTCCCACCTCAGCCTCTCAAGTAGCCGGGGACATAAACTTATGCCACCACACCTGGCTAATTTTTTTTTTTTTTTTTGATAGAGGTTTTGCTCTTGTTGCCTAGGCTGGAGTGCAATGGCACGATCTTGGCTCACTGCAACTTCTGCCTCCCGGGTTCAAGCGATTCTCCTGCTTCAGTCTCCCGAGTAGCTGGGATTACAGGCATGCACCACCACGCCCGGCTAATTTTGTATTTTTAGTAGAGATGGGGTTTCTTCCATGTTGGACAGGTCGGTCTCAAGCTCCTGACCTCAGGTGATCTGCCTGCCTTGGCCTCTCAAAGTGCTGGTATTACAGGCGTGAGCCACCATGCCCAGCCACACCTGGCTAATTTTTAAAATATTTTTTATAGAGACAAGATCTCATCATGTTGCTCTGGCTGTTCTCAAAATCTTGGGCTCAAGCAACCGCCTGTCTTGGCCTTTCAAAGTGCTGGGATTATAGGCAAGGTTCAATGCGCCTAGCCACCTTCTTGTATCTGTGGTTATTGTTTTACATGTTTCTTCTCTTCCTTCTAATATTTCTGCTCTTTCAGGTATTCCCATTATAGTTGTTAAACCTTTTGTAGTTGTCCAACTGTCTTGGAAATTCTCTTTTGTTTTCAGTCTTTTTTATTTTTTCTTCATGCTCTTCAGCTTTGGAGATTTGTGTTGAGATATCCTCAATCTCAGAAATTATTTTTTCCATTGTGTCAACTAGTACTAATCCCATCAAAGGCATTCTTCATTTCTGTTACTGTATTTTTGATCTCTAGTATTTCTTTTTGATCCTTTTTTAGAATTTCCATCTCTCTGCTTAGATTGGCCATCTGTTCTTGCATGCTGTCTACATTATCCATTGGAGTCCTTATCATATTAAACATAGTTGCTTTAAATTTCTAATTCCAGCTTCCTTGCTATGCCTGGTCCTGATTGCTCTGTGTCTTCAAATTGTGTGGTTTTTTTTTTTTCTTTTTATTGATTTGCCTTTAGTATACCTTGTAAATTTTTTTCTTTCTATCCAGACATGATGTATCATGTGAAAGGAACTGTTAAAAATAGGCATGTAGTGATGTGATAGTAAGGTGTTGGGATGGGGAAGAGTTCTACGGTCCCACGGTTTGGTCTCAGTTAGTCAGCCTTTGTCTCTGGACTGTGAACAATACATGTTTTTCTTTTTTTTCCCCCCCATGTGGATGGCTATGGCTGATGGGAGTTGTGTAATACCCTTCCCTAAGATCAGCTGGGCTCTGAGAGTGTCTCAGCAGATTAGGATGTGATTAACTGATTTCTCCTGAGGGCAGACTTTACTAAGAATAGAGTGTATGGGCTTATTTCAAAATGATTCTTCCTTCATTTCCTCTGCAGGAAGCATGAGGGGAATTTCCTCTAACTCACTGAACTGACCAGTGAAAAGCTAGTCAACCTCCTGGTGGTAAATTCACAAGATTGTGGGGGCTCCATACAACTGGAATCTCCCGTAGTTTGTAACTCTCAGACTTGTCCACACTGAACCCAGCAATTTGTTTATTACAATTTAAGTTCCCCTAATCCTGTAGTTGTTCCCACAGTGCTTTCTGCTTCTGACTCCTTGTATTTGCCTATTTCTCTCTCCAGTCTTGAGGGCAGCAGTTTGTCCTATGTCCTTAACAGTCTTAAGATCTATTAGGTTGGTTCAAAAGCAAAAAATTGTAATTACTTTTAAACAAACCTAATAAGAACAGTTATTGTTTCTTCAATTTTTTTCAGCTTTTTACTTCTTGTTACAATGGACTAGCAACTTTGAAGCTTCTTGCATGTGGAACCAGAAACCTCAAGTGGCTTTTAATGTGCAAAGATGTTTATTTTCAAAAGATAATATGTAAGTCCTAAAACAACAGTAACTTTTATTCATTCATTTCAGCTTCTTTATGGCAAGGTGAATTAGATTGGCATTGATGTAAGTATGAAACTTGATTATAATTAATTCCATTTCACACGTCTTTATATTATTCTTTATCCTGTCTAGTTTTTAGGACAGTCTAATTTTGGGGGGTAACTAAAGACAGATGGCAGAAAGATTAAGATAGATTAATATGCAACAGCTGGTGAACAATACATAATCTTCTTGGAAACATAATAAACATTTTTTACCTCTGTCCCAATATGCTCATCATGTTTCTGAAACTTACCTTTTAAACAACACACACTTCAAAGTAAAAGAAAAGAAAAGATGACAAAGTAAAAGAAAGATGACAAAGAATTATGTCATTAAATAAATAAAACCACAGAACCAAAAGTGTGAATAAGACAGTCATAGGAAGAAAAAATGAGGATCTTCTTAGTTACTATCTCAACCAGCCATACCTTCTCTTTGAATGTACTCAGGAGTACATTTTATGTGGCTTCTGCTTGGATCCTCCTAGTGGGCTGTAATTTTAGTAACTGTTAGGAAAGTCTATTCTGCTGTTTGTCATCTTAGACTTTGCACAAATATTTTTATATGGATTCAGAAATCTACTTTCCAGTTACTTCAACCTATTGATCCTGGTCCTCCTCCCCCAATGTTCAAGCCTAAATCTTTAAGCTTATGTTACTTATGTCAGTCCTTCTTGTCATTAAAGACCATAATCATGATGCTCTCCACCAAGTCATAGAAAACTAGTGCCCTTGCAAACGGAGATCAAAAGAAAGCTTTTATTTACTGTTTCCTTTCCAGAATTTCTAGGATTTTCCATGCAGTCAAGAAAGAGGAAGAATATTTATATCATATATATATTATGTAATGGTTTAACATACTATTAATATAAAGTAGGATTCCTTCTTTATTTCTGAGGGACTCTGTATAATACGTATCTTCCATTAAGTTTCTTTTCTGGATTTAGTAATTGAGAGAAATAGAGTTCTGGTTCAGATGCAGGGTAATTACACTTGATTATCTTTGACATACGGCCTTCCTAGTTCCCTTATACTTTCATGGGGCAAGTCAGATGTTTGCTAGTGCCTAGGATATCTTCAAGTTTGCTTTGAGCTCTTTCAACCCATATCTACGAATACCAATACTTCTGTGTTTTTCTTCCTGTTCCAATGCTAAGAAACTGAGAAAAAGGACTCATGTCCTCAAAGCTTTAAAACTATTTTGTAGTGTAAAGGCAGTGTTTCTAAGTAAGAAAAAGAATCTCAGTTCATTGGCATAACTATTTGGAGACACAAAATTATGATTAGAAGCTGCAGTGAAATAGAGAAGTTCTTGATTACACTAGAAAGACACATTTTTTAGATTTTGTTTTCAAAGCATGACTGAAAGAAATAAAATCACCTGGGTTGCTTATTAAAGATGAAAATTCCTGGGACTCTTTATCAGAGATTATGGTATAGCATTTCTTTGTTGGAGTCCAAGGATATTTATTTGTAATGTGATTTCTCAATCATAAAGTTATTCTTTTAAAAATATTTTTTATTTTAATAGTTTTTGGAGTACAGGTGGTATTTTATTACATGTATAATAAGTTCTTTAGTAGTGAATTCTGAGATTTTGGCGACCCATCCCCCGATAAGTAACCTGCCAACTTAATTTTAGTAAAGGCTGTTCTAACAGACACAGATACCTTTTGGAATGCCTGAAAATGCTTGATTTTCTTTGAAGTGGTACACAGAGGAGATGAAGGTAGGAAAAAAAATTTCTTGACAAATTACAGATATTACTAACCTTAAAGAGAGCTTTCCTTCTAAAAGTGCAAACATTATGTTATTATTTATATTTCTAGATCAATTATGAAATTACCTCAGATAAAAGTTAATAAGAACAATTACTTCTTAAGTCAACATTTTCTGGCATGCCACTCGAAGATAATTTTTTGACTCATGCTAAACCATTTTATTCCCTTTCCCTTTCTACCCCCGGCAGGTAGTTAAAACCTATAATTATAGCTCCAGCAGTAAAGAACATTCAAATTCATTTCACTTCTTACCAAATTCTAAATATGATCTCTTTAGTTTCCGCTTGTTGCTTAGTTACATTTCCTGTTTGTCCAAATAAATCTGATCAAAGTAATATAGTATGAACATACCCAGATAGCTCCAAAGTTAGACCCTTGACCAGTTGCACACTTTCACTGCCCCTTGCTTTTGCTTTCCAAACATGAAGTTGAATAATAAACTTCTGTGTCTTTTTCAGTCTCATCTGGTAGCAAGAATACAAATTCTTATTCTCTGAGTCTGGAAATACAGTTCAAAATGGACATGTTTTACCCCATCTCCCTCTAATTCTTTTTTTTTTTTTTTTTTTGAGAGGGAGTCTCGCCCTGTCGCCCAGGCTGGAGTGCAGTGGCACGATCTCGGCTCACTGCAAGCCCCGCCTCCCAGGTTCATGCCATTCTCCTGCCTCAGCCTCCCGGAGTAGCCGGGACTACAGGTGCCCACCACCATGCTCGGGTAATTTTTTGTATTTTTAGTAGAGACAGGTTTTCACCGTGTTAGCCAGGATGTTCTCGATCTGACCTCGTGATCCGCCCACCTCAGCCTTCCAAAGTACTGGGATTACAGGCCTGAGCCACCGCGTCCGGTTGTCTCCCTCTAATTCTTTCATCTCTCTTTTGTTTCTACTCTTTTCCCCTCTTCTCTCTTCCTTGCCTATTCTCATGGCCTCTGTTGTAACTACCATCATCATCATCAGCAGCAGCAGCAGTAGCTATGCTGAACTTGGATATGATACTGAACTCATATATGCACCAGTCTTCTCATTTTAAAATGATAATGTAAGACTAGCATTGTAGCATTACTGTGAGATCTAAATGAGTCAATATATGCCCACTGCTTAGAATAGTACCTAGCACTTAGCAAATCATTTAAGTGATGCCATTATGACTAGCCTCATTATCACAATAACACTCATTACTCTGACTTATCCCATACTTCTCCTATTTACTGAGGATGTGCCAAGCGTGCGCCCAGCATTGCAGTGACTGCTTTCCACATTAGTTTATTTCATGCTCACAAAATTATGTCAGGTAGATGCAACTTTTAAGTGAATAAAAAGGAAACTAAATCTGAAGAAGTTAAGCAATGTTTTATTCATACACAGTGAACCAACTAAACTAATGCAGCCCATGTGTCTTTCAAAGCCAGTGAGATATTACGGTAGCCCCTGGACAGGTGAAGCTGCCTAAGAAGCCACAGGTCAGAGGTGGATACACTCTAACTCAGAGCAAAAACTCCACAGTGAGTGTGCTTGCCCCCATGTTTGCATAAACTGAGAGGTTGCTAGGAAAGGGGTAGGAAAAAGAAAGTCTGGAGGATGTGAACTTTTTAGCCTCTAGATTAGTAACTTGCTAACAAAATGAGCATGCTCACCACCAATAGGCTTGTGGATAACTCTGCAGCTGAAATGGGAGTTGGAGGGGTTAGATGCCCTTTTATAGATTCTCAGGGCTAAGGGATTCCCATTGCCTTTGATGTCAATGCAGCCCATCTTCCAATATTTTTTAAATAGTTTTCAGACACAAACACATTAAAAAATTGGCTAAAAGAAAACATACATACATATATATATAATTTTAAGCATAAAATTGTGTGTGTGTGTGTGTATGTGTATGTGTACACTCTTTGTTTACCCAACAAAGAGCAGTGTGGCAGATATAAGTTAACTGCAAGATGGCAGTAGACACTCCTGTTCCCAAAAAGTGGGGTGGAAGTAACATAGACTTCCTCATAGAACCATTTCCTCACTGTCCTAGCCCTCACTGGTAGTCTCTCTGTGGCCCATTCATCTTCTACTCACCGCTTTATTGTCTGGAAGTCATTAACACATGTCTTCAGATTTCACAGTAGCAGCTGAGTTCCCATTCATCCCAGATTCAAGACAAGGAGTATGGAGTTCTGCCTTCTGGGCAGAGTGGGGAATTTTTAGCTTCCATTAATCCACCACAACATTACATTTAGTGAGTATAAAAATAAAAAATAGACATTAGTCTTTATCTGACAATCTCCTCTTCTTCGTCTTAGGGTCTTTTTATTATGTTCTTTATGATTGTTTCTTTTTTGATGGCATTATTCTTATTTTACTATTTATATCAGAATGCTTCCATAAAGAATCTTTGGATCACAGGTTTTAGAATCTTTATTTAAAATTTTTTTTTTCTCAATTCATAGGCGACAGTCTCATTCCTATTTTGGATACATTCACTTGCCTCCAGCCCAAATTTTATTGGCTTTCCAAAGATATATTCAGTTCCTTTAAATAACAATATATATGTGGTGAGGTGTGTGTGTGTGTGTGTGTGTGTGTGTGTGTGTATGCCTCATTGCCTTATAATGTGTTAGGTTTCGAGGTGAGAACTGTCCCTAACTGAAACATAAAATTTTAGAAGATTGTATTAAGGAGTTTAATTGAGGTTTTCATGGATATTGGACATCTATATTCCTCTTTCAAATCTGGTTTTGATATCGCAATGCCAGAATAAAATACACTTCGATTGGAGTAGGGTTATATGCAGCCCACAAACTGTAAAAAATAAAGAAGGAAATTAAGCTGATTACAAATAATTCAGCTGCAAGTTTTACTGTTTGGAGTTCAAATTACGTAAAGTCAACTCTGGGCTGAACCCTGGTAGTGTAAATACACTGTTCATCTATTAAATATTAGACACACAGGTTTTATGTAGCACATCTTAATATAAACGTATTTCATTTCCATCTAAAGTTTTAAAGGAACTAAAAATCACAAACTGATTAGAATATATAAAACACATCACTTTTACTTAGCTTCTAGGATATATGTTGAAAATACATAGTGTATGGAAATTACTTGTCTTACTAATACAGTATAACAGTAAAAACACTAGCAATGACTTTAGCAAAAATAAGCAAACATTCACTGAGGACTCACTCACTCCAGGCACTGTTCTATGTTCTTGCTCCTTAGAGTGACCATTTAAATGATAATCCTAACTGGAACCCTCTTAAAAGTGAAAGTAAAATATATAATGACTCCATGACGGTCCCATGCAAATTGGGATGTGTGATTGCTCAGCTACATGCTTTACCTGATAGAATCTTCATGCAACCCTGCTATAAGAATGAACCTCAGTCCTTTTTCAACGAATGCAGAAACTGAGGTTCAAAAGAGCTCCATAATTTGCCTACGGTCCCCACAGGGTCAAGGGTGCTACAAGGCCAGTCTGTTTGACCTCGGACTTGTAAGTCTCATGATCCTGGTACCCGACTGCTCCGATCATCAACAAGCCATCCATCATCCACCATCTCAGATTCTATGGAAGAAGGTCATCCTGTCTCTTTCTGATGTTGTTGTTGTTTTAATTTAACAGATTCTGTCAAATCTATAGACACGCTGTCCCTCTATCTGTCTTCCAAATAGAATGAACAGAGCTGAGAAGCACACCGTGGCTATGCCTCACCTCCAACACTATATTTTCTTAAACATCATAGGCTTTAAGAGTAAGATGCTTAATGCTGCAAATCAAATTAGTTGGGTTTTTGGTTTTGGTTGGGTTTTAAAAAGCAAATAAAGCAATATTGAACCTTGATATTCACTGTATAGAAGTGGGATCAGACATTCAAAGATCATGGCCCCACCTAATAATCACCATTGGTTCTTATTAGCCAACTGCACACAGATTCCCCTCCAGTCATATGAAAATGTGATTTTGCATTTAAATGCTACTCAGTTAACCTCTTTTAATTGCCATAAGCACATAAAATTATGTTCTTGCGTTCTCAGGACTTTCAGTTCATACAGTCTACATGTTTTTTGTTTGTTTGTTTTCTCCTTCTAAAGCTTCACTAAAATTTGCTTTAAAAGGTGTACTTTTTATGTTTTTAAAAATATATATTTATTGAGGCAGATTTTCACATCTAGAAAAGCATGAGTAAATATCATTTTAAAAAGCAATATATTCAGTTGTATTTGTTTAAATTACTTTTGGAGAGATATTAAAAATAGCTCTGAAATAGACACCTTGAGACCTAGGTTCTACTCCGTTTTATGAACAGAGTATAGACATGGGTTCAAATTTCAACTCTGCCACTTCTTAGATGCAGGACCTTGAAAAAAGTAACTTAAAGGTAATCTTTGGGCTACCATTCTGTCAACTGTATAAAGTGGATAATATTAGAAACCGACTTCATAGGTTTGCTGTAAAAATTAAATGACATTTTTCTTAAAAGGGTATTGTGTGCCAGCCTCAGTGTGGCACCATGATGCTCAGTCCATATTTCCTTGCACTTGTTCTCTTGTGCTTGCCACGGTATCCTGCAATTGGCTCTTGAGGGAACCTGAATAAGATGGAAGTGGCTAGAAGTTTACACCTCTGGGATCAGCGTTCAGCCACTCAGGGAAGGGGATCTATGGGTAAATACCTCAACTTCCTCATTCTTTGTGAGGACTATCTCTGAGGAGCATCCCATGAAATCTACTAGAAGTCAGCAATTGGAATGAGCCTCAAATGCCCATAAGAGTAACCTGTTCATTAACATGCTCTACATTGCCTTTGTTTCTTCCTTAATTTTCCTACTCTCGGCCAAGCACGGTGGCTCATCCCTGTAATCCCAGCACTTTGGGAGGCGAAGGAGGTGAATCACTTGAGCCCAGGAGTTCAAAACAAGCCTGGACAACGTGGCAAAACCCCCTCTCTCTCAAAAAAAATAAAACCTATAAAACTTATCCAGGAGTGATGGCACACACCTGTAGTCCCAGCTGCTTGAAAGGCTGGGCAGGGAGGATTGCTTGAGCCCAAGAAATTGAGGCTACAGTGAGCCATGACAGCACCACTGCACTCCAGCCTGCATGCGTGAGCGAGACCCTGTCTCAAAACAAAATAAAAATAAGAAAATATTTGTCCTACTCTCCTACTGGTACTTCCAGACATCACTTACAAAATCAATAACTTGCACAATCTGTATCTCACGCTCTACTTTTATGGGAACCCATCCTAAGACAATACAATAAGTACTTAACAAAACAATACGTCACTCTTAGAAAATATCTCATAGTCAGTAAAGGAATCTTTCAGCAATTGAATGTATGACAAACGCCACGAAGCTAATATTTAGGTAGCACTATGCTAAGCACTTTTCATGCATTATCTTGTTTAATCTCCACACACACACACACACACACACACACAACTTTATAAGGCTGGGATATAATTTATTTCCTATTCCAAAGGAGAAGGCAAAGTACAAAGATATGTTAGTTAAAATGCCAATATCACACAGCAACTATATTACAGAATCAGGATTTAAACTCAGTTTATTACAAAGTTCGTGCTCTTACACTTAAGCTACACTCTCCCATGACAGCTCATACTGATGTTCTATATAATTAGCTCCTGTATAGACTACACCCTATCAGTCAGATACCTGATCTCAGAGGAAACAGAATTAAGATTATCCTCTCCTGTGCCCCTTCTCTATTGCTAATACTCATCTATTCCATATAGAACTCAATATGATGAGGGAAGAAGAACTTTGAATAGGAACTTCATTTTCATTCCTCAAAATTCTAGGAAAGTCATGATCATGTTTCACAAGCTCTGGCCTCCTTTTAAATCTCACAACATGGCTAACTCAATGACTAGAAGGCTGACATTACATGTAAGAAAATTTAAACTCAATGGCCAGAGAAGTCAGGGTGTTCTCTCAGTAAACGTTTTGATATAAGACGCAAATACAACCAATTGAGAGGCTAGGCTATAATATTTACTTTCGTTATATTTGACTCTATTGTGGTAAACAAAATTAAGAAATGATAAATAGCTAGCAAAAATCTATGATTAAAATAATAAATACAGAATATTTTTATTATATCTATATATTTATATTGTAGAGACCCAAAGAACTCAGCATTTAGTATTATCTTAACATCATAGTTTGCCCTTTAAAAAAAATTTGTGAGTAGACATCACATTGATGAAATCAGTTTTAACATAATTATGAAGCTAGGTATTTCAATATATTTCTTATGATGATATATGGAGCTTCTCAGAACCCCCAAGATTTTATGGAAGAGTTTACACATCAAAAATTCAAATAGATGCAGAAAAGAAATCCTGCTGGGAAGTACAGAGGAGCAAGAAAAACTGGCGGTTTTTGGAAACAGAAAAGCGAAGGCACAGAGAAGTTATCTGACCTCCTCAAGGTCACAAAGGGATTCAGTAATGGATCCAGGAACAGTGGCCAAATCTTTTGGACTCATTGTCCAATGCTCAATCCACCATACTTGACTCTCTCCATGGTGTACAATTTGCTTCTAAGCTCAAGTCATTCAGATGTGCTTGTTGGCAAAGTGGGCTGTTCAAGGAAGCAGGAGACTTCTTTCTTCTCAAAGTCTCCCCTGCATCGGGCTCAGAAGGGATGCTTCCTTCCTTGTCACTCTGCCACTGCCTACCTACAGAGATGCTCTGGCGGGTGGGGGTCTGAGTGCCCACCGAGCATGTTAAGCCTTAACTTACACAGTTTTTTGATATGGAACATCTGTGGATTCCAAGAGTGAGCAGATGGCACTGAGTCATGCCAAACTCAGCACCTCACTCCTCCAAACTGCATTCCTCCCTTAGTATCCACAAACTGTGGCCGGATGGATCCCATACTTCTGCAAAGCAAGGGGGCAGAACTGTGGGAAATGCCATCCTTGCAAAGGAAAATTTCTAATCTAGCTCCCCTCACCCCTGGTATTAACTTACACTAAACTTGTGCCATCTTCAATTTTCTGAAATCTCCTAGCTGTGGGAACATATGGCCAATGGAAGAAAGACTCATTTTATTGGAGAAGTAATTTTTCCCCATAGATATTATTTTAACTATATTCTCAATACATGTCTTTTGGAAACTTCTAGGTCTCTGCACTATGAATGATTGCTAGCAGGATACCTTTAAAATGCGTTTATAATTATTTCATGCTTCTGAATCTCAGGTCGAATAAGATTCAAATATCATTGCAATATTTGTTAATTAGGTAGGAATATTTGTCTTACTTTAGACAACATAAAAGCCAATACTTTGAGGAATACTATAAGCAGTGTCTAATATGTGGATGTTTGGGGGAATGGGTTTAAAACAGCCATTCTACTCTCCACTTTTTTTTTTAAAGCTGTTATATCCTTTCTGATTGACGTAAAATTAAAAACTGCCCTGTTAGCAAAGAAAAATCACAGAAGAGTTTTAGGAATTTTATTTAGAGAGCTAAAATTCACATGTGGGAGCTAGTAAATGATGGCTCTTTATACTGAGTTCAAGTTGACCATCAAGAGTCTTCGTATTCCATTCCCTCAATGTTTAAAGGGCACTTATTCCAAACCGGGCACTGTTTTAATTAATGGCAGTAGAGTTGAGAAGAAAACAGCTGAGAATCTTGCCCCCATGAAAACATTTTCAAAGATTAGCAAGAAGTTCAGTGTGGCTGGTGTGAATGAGCAGGGAGGATAGCGAAGGTGTTAGGAATATAGAGGTGTCAAAATATGAAGGGGCCTTATCATGTTGAATTTTATAGCCTAGAGTTAAGAGTTTGTATTTTATTCTGAATGTGATAATATCTACTGAGACATTTGAAACTCAATGTCATTTCATCTGATACAAATACACACCCACACACACCCACATAATCCTAATATACAACATGCATACCTATGTATTTTATGGACATATAATATACACACATCAAAAATGCTAAGCTTGAAAAATGTTTATAAATGGAACATGCTCATGTAACCAACACATAGAAACCAGATCAAGATGCAGGGGGTTCCCTGGTGCTTCTTTGTGCCAAATGTTCATTACTTGGGTACCCTGACTTCTATCACCATAGATAAATGGTATCTGCCATTTATTCTCAGGCTGCCATAACAAAATACCACTGACTCTATGGCTTAAACAGCATACATTTATTTTCCCACAGTTCTGGAGGCTAGAAGTCCTTGATCAAGGTGCCAGAATAGTCATTTTCTAATAAAAGCTCTCTTCCTGGCTGGTAGATGGCCTCCTTCTTGCTGTGTTCTCACAAGGTCTGTTCTCTGTGTACATGGAGAGAGAGTTCCAGTGTCTATCTTTCTTCTGATAAGGACATGAGTTTCATTGGATTGTAACATGATTTAACCTTTATTATCTCCTTATAGTCTCTAGCTCCAAATTCAGTCAGATTGAGGGTTAAGGCTTTAAGACATGAATTTGGTGGTGGGGGGTGTGATGTGGGGATACAATTCAGTCCATAACATTTTATCCTTTGCCATCCCCTCAGAATTCATGTACCTCTTGCAAGCAAAATGCATTTGCTCCATCTCAACAGCCTCAGAAGTATTAATCCATTTTAGCATCAACTCTAAAGTTTGAAGCCAAAAATATCATCTAAATATCAACTAAATCAGATACAGATGAGACTTGAAGTACAGTTCAGTCTGAGGCAAAATTCCTCTTCACCTATGAACTTACAAAACTAGACAAATTGGCCAGGCACGGTGGCTCAAGTCTGTAATCCCAGCACTTTGTGGGGTGGAGATGGGTGGATCACCTGAGGTCAGGAGTTTGATACCAGCCTTTCCAATGGCGAAACCCTGTCTCTACTAAAAATACAAAAGATTAGCCAGGCGTGGCGGTGGCCACCTGTAATCCCAGCTACTCAGGAGGCTGAGACAGGAGAATTGCTTGAACCTGGGAGGCTGAGGTTGCAGTGAGCCGAGATCATGCCACTGCACTCTAGCCTGGGCGACAAGAGCAAAACTCTGTCTAAAAAAAAACTACACAAATTATGTGCTTTCAAAATACAATGATGGGACAGACATAAGATAGACATTCCCATTACAAAAGGGAGAAATCAGAAAGAAGAAAAGGATGATAAGCCCTAAGCAAATTCAAAACCTAGCAAGGTAAATTGCATTAGATGTTAAAGTTTGGGAATAATCATCCTTGACCCAATGCCCCACCTTCTGATGCTGAGGTGGCAGCATCAACCCCACGTTCCTATGTGGTGACCCTTATCCCTGAGCTCTGGGAAGCACCCTGTCCCCATGGCCTTTTATGACATCCCCAGTGTTGAGGCACAGGGCAGAGGTGGTCTGGTCAGCTGAGATCAAGGCAATAGCTCCACTCTTTGAAACCAAGAAGAAACCAGCATTGCCTGTTAGGCTTGTGGTGGGAGTGGCAACCCTAAAGATTTCTGAATCACTGTGGGTCCATGCTTTCCTTTTCTTGAAAGATTATGCATATGCACAGCTGGACAGGTCTAGGGTCCCATTCTTTAGAACCTCATAGGCACAACAGCTTTCCTTCATTCCATCACATTTTCTTCACCCCTTTACTCCCACCCAGTAGAGTTTTTGCTGGTATAATCCCATGTCTATTTCTGGCTTCTGTTGAGGTGGCTGAATAAATCCATGCTTCACAACCATATACTCTCCTTATGAAATTCTTGTTCAGCTCCAGCTTTAGCGTTCTCTTCAGAACATGCTTCCTCTTTTTTTGCAATATGAATAAGCTTATAATTTTACAAATCTTTAAGTTCTTGATCCTTTTTGCTTAACAAGTTCTTCAGTTTATTTCTTTCCTGTTGCATTTTACTATATGTGATAATGAGAAACCAAGCCATGCCTTTAAAACTTTGCTTATAGATGTCTTAAGCTAAATATCCAATTTCATTTCTCACAATTTCTACATTCCACAAAACACTAGGACACAATTGAGGCAAGCTCTTTGCCAATTTATGACAAGGATCAACTTTCTTCCAGTTTCTACCATGTACCTTATTTCTGTCTGAGGCCTCATCAGAATGGCTTTTAATGCCTGTATTTCTGCCAACATTCTGTTCATGAGGTTATCTATATACTCTGTGTAGCTCATTCATATTTCTACCAATACTCCCTTTAAGACAGTCGAGGCTGTTCTAGGAAGCAACTCAAAACTCTTGCCTCCACCCACCACCCCATTCCAAAGGCTCTTTCACATTTTTAAGTATTTATTCAGCACTATCCCCTACTTCATGTTACCAAAATCTGTACTAGTAGTCTCAACTCCCATTTTAAAACCCCTTTAACTGGATGGCTTAAATAACAGACATTAATTTTCTCACATTTCCAGAGGCTAGAAGTCCATGGTCAAGTTCTGGTAGATTTGGCTTCTGGTGAGGGCACTATTTCTTGCTGGGAGATGGCCACGTTCTTGCTGTGATCTCCCATGGACTTACCTCTGTGAATGTGTGCAAGACAGAAAGCTATAGTGTTTCTTATTTTTCTTATGAGGATATCTGTTCTATTATATTGGGGCACCACCCTTTAAACCTTATTTAACAGTTATTATCTCCTCTATAAGCTCTATCTCCAAATGTAGTCACATTGGGGTTTAGGTCCTCTAGAGATAAATTTTGAAGGGGACTCAGTTTAGGCTATAATAATATCTTAGATTACATATTCTTTGACATGTGGTTTCTTTTAGCTAACATACCCATAAGGTTTTTATTTTCATGTCATTTTGTGTACCAGTAGCTAGAACTGTTTTCATCGCATTGTAGTGTTACATTATAGAAATACTCTGGTATAAATTTCTCCATTCTTTAATAGCCATTTGGATAGTTTCACATTTTTTTGTCCTTTGAAGATAGTGCTGCTATGAAGGTCTTTTCTTTTGGGTAGAAGGTCTCATTTCTTTTGGACAGAAGTGGAATTGTTGAGTTTTAAGGATGCATATGTTCTGCTTTAGTAGATCCTACCAAACAGTTTCCTAAAATAGTTATACCAATTTTTACTCATACCAGCAGTTTATGAGGGTTCTTTTTGTCCCATGTTCTAATTAACATAATATTTTACATCTTTTTAACTTTAACTATTTTCAAGAGCATTTTGAAGTTTAATTTGCATTTTTCTATGACAGATGTATATACGTATTTTTAAAAATGATTCTGTCTGCCAAATAGAGGTTATTGCATTAACTGGTAGTCATTAATGTAACATGCATGCTCCCCAAGAATGCCAGTGACACAAGATAAAACAAAATGGTAAAAAAGAAGGTAGGTTAAGACTTCCATTTAGAAAGCCGTTTAACTTTAAGAAATTAGGTCTTACTAGGCCGGGCGCGGTGGCTCACTCATGTAATCCCAGCACTTTGGGAGGCTGAGGCGGGTGGATCACAAGGTGGTCAGGAGATCGAGACCATCCTGGCTAACATGGTGAAACCCTGTCTCTACTAAAAATACAAAAAAATTAACCAGGCGTGGTGGCGGGTGCCTGTAGTCCCAGCTACTCGGGAGGCCGAGGTGGGAGAATGGCGTGAACCCAGGAGGCAGAGCTTGCAGTGAGCCGAGATCGCGCCACTGCACTCCAGCCTGGGCGACAGAGCGAGACTCCATCTCAAAAAAAAAAAAAAAAAAAAAAAAAAAAGAAAAGAAATTAAGCCTTACTATTGTTTACAATATTGATTGGCACTGGTGCCCTCTGTTGGTCTAAAGCTTGGATCCACAAATGTTGTATACATTTCAGCTGCCATCCAATGTCTCTCAACAGTGTGACACTCACAAGGGGTCCCAATTGTTCCCTCATTCATTTATTCGCTTCAGTTTCTTGCTATACAGAACAATTTGCATGCTAAAGAAAAATATCTTTATGTTTAATGTAAGGTTTTCATTTAGTTTTGAACTTTTTACATCATCTTCTAATGAGATGGATGGGACAATGAACATTTTATAGATGCACAGCAGTTTACTTGTTTCCTGTCCAAATATATGAAGAGTTATGAAATGCAAAGATAAACTTCTTTTTTTACAAAAAGACAAGTATATCAGATTTAATCACTTTCATGTAATAAATATTAGTATTAAATCATTTAATATATGTTTTTGAGGAAACAATCTTAATTTGGTCTTTCAAATTATGTTTTAAAATGAGTGAGAAAGTAACAACTTAAAAAATTGTGCACTTCAGAGAGCATTTTGGAAATGGATGTTTGAAATGTTTCTATTTGATGGCCTTTTGTTAATAAAATTATGTTAAATGTGTCATTAAATCTCTTTTACTTGTACCATTTAAAACCCTAGGCACAGAATTTTCTAACCAGCTTACAAATCTTCTAAGAGCTTGTCGTTTTGAATCTGTGTGTTAAAACCATGAAGATACAACATCTTCTAATTAGTTTACACAGATAATTGATTTAGCAAGCAATTTCAGCAAAAAGCCCACAATTGGTGGATAAATTGTTAAATCTAATGAACATAATAGAGGAAACTCAGTCAAAAATGTATTTTTATAATTTGAGTCCTTTTAAAAAAATATTTTTTGAAGTTATGGGAGCCACTAAAAATAAAATAAAAATAAACTATGCACATCATAGCACACCAGGCCAATTGTAGTGGTACATGCCTATAATCCCAATACTTTGGGAGGCCGAAGAGGTAGGAGGATGGCTTGAGGCCAGGAGTTTGAGACCATCCTGGACAACTCAGAGAGATCCTATCTCTTCAAAACATTAAAAAGTCAGCTGAATGTGGGGGCACATGCTTACAGTCCTAGCTGCTCAGGAGGCTGAGACAGAAAGATCTCTTGAGCACAGGAGTTTGAGGTTGCACTGCCTTTCAGCTTGTGAGACAGAGTGAGACCCTGTCTCAAGAAAAAAAAAAAAAAAGTCTGGTTCTAATCTGAAATTACTAAACTAAGATTTTCAAAAATAATGAAGTCTTTTCCATGAAATGATAGTAACTAAAATAGTAACTAATTTTACTGTCAGTAAGAATGTTTTCAATATGACTTTAATAAATTAGAATATTTAAAAATTCTGTACACTTCATTATGAATATAATATTTATTACATATAATTAGAATTTAATAAATATATATGCTAGAGAATATGCTGCTTTGTTTGTTTTTACTGAGAGGTACATAGGGTACAAATTTGATAATTGATTGATGAGGTTTCTAACAATGGAGGTGATGAGAAATTGTTGAATTCAGGATCATTTTAATGAATAACAACTAGAATGTGAAAAAAACATGAGTCAATATTGACTCCCACAGACCAGACCTAATCAAGTTTCATTTATTAAAAGTGCTAAAATTGTTATAGTAACACAGTTTTGTCTGTGTGTCTGTGTACGTATGTGTGTGTGTATGCATGCACATGTTTGTACATACTAAGACGGGAAATATCCACAGTTCTCTTTTTTTGTATTTTTTTTTTTTTTAAGAAATGAGATTTTGCCATGTTGCCTAGGCTGGTCTCAAACTCCTGGGCTGAAGCTATCCACCCACTTCGGCCTCCCACAGTGCTGGGATTACAGGTATGAACCATCGCACCCTTCCCAATAGTTCTCTTTTTGACATGATAATTTTTCAGTGTTAGTTAGACGTCAATATCCAACGTGTAGTAGGGCAGTTAAGCATACAAGTTTGGGGCTGGGTGTGGGGTTTAGGAATTGATCTGTAAATGTGAGAGTTCCTGGTATCTAAATCAAAAGCCATAAGACAGAGTGAGAAGTCCTAGGCAATGTGCGATGGCAGAGTGGGGAACAGTCAGGGACTAGCTCAGGGAATCCTGTTGTTTGTAAGGCAGGAACAAATCAAATCCCATTGCTTCTTTTAAATGTGTTATTCCAGCCTCCCCACTCAACTTCTTGTTTTCACACACGCACAAACCGTTTCCTTTATCTCCTCGGTGTTGGGACTCAGAAACCAAGACCCCAAAATATGACATTGTGACATGCTAAACTGAAGAAACATCAAGGTATCTCTGACCTTCCTCACATACTATCTCTCCCAAAGAAAATAAAGTTCCTTTATCTACCTAAAATCCAGATCCATCAAGAAGAGCAATTGTTTTTCTTCCTCTCTCTGTTATCTTGTTATTTTATTGCAGAAAATAAGGCCTCTATGCGACCACACCTGAGCAGATCCTTTTTATGAGGATAATGACTGTCTCTATGGATCATTTGAATTCCAAAGAAATCTATTTACATGTTAATCTCTGTTCCTAAATTTAACCACTTTCCCCAGCAATCATATATTGCCTTTCAGTAGAATTCCTCTTCTCTCCCCTCCCATAATCTGTTTTACCAGGATCAATTCCCCATTCCTTCTATAACCTCAAGATAAGTTTCTATAATTCATTGGGAAGTTGGGTCTTCATTCTGAAGGCTCCTATATATGCACATTAAATAAATTTGTATGCCTTTTCTCCTATTAATTAACCTGGTTCACATCAGTGATTTTTTTAAGCCAATCTTTAGGGGGCCAAGAGCCTATAGCCCCCACAATATTAATACAGAAGGGCTGGGCTTCTTGCTAAACCCCACCTTTAAGCCTAGAACTGCAGCCCTAAGTGAAAACAGCTGGCCCCATTTTTCCATCCAAATGTTGCTTTTTTTGGCCTGCCCCATCCCTATCCTGTGCTCATAAAAGACTTTAGCTGGCAGAGCAGCACAAGCTGCTGAGCGTCAAGGATACAAGCGGCTGAGTGTTGAGGATACAAGCAAGTGACTGAGCAGAAAGCAGAGAAGCAACTGAGCATCAGAGACTATGGATAGAAGCTGCTAACTTCAGATGGTGCGGCTTTGGCAAGAGGCCCAGCCAGAGGTGGCTGGGCTTCGAGGAAAGATCACCTTCCCATCCCCTTTCCAGCCTCCCTTTCCACTGTGAGCCACCCACCACTCAATACAATCTTCTGCATTCATCACCTTTCAAATAGTTCTTGTGACCTGATTCTTCCTGGACGCTGGACAAGGATACTTCCTGGACGCTGGACAAGGAACCTTTCTAGAGGACAAAGGCGGCCACCTTGACCCTCCACTTAGCTGCTGGGCACTTGGATGTCCCCAGACAACAGAGCTGAAAGAGCATTGGTTGTAACACACTTGGATGCTGCTCTGGGGCCGCACAGAGCCTGCTCCTGCCAGAGAGGAGTGACTGGTCAGTCCCAGCATTCATTAGCTCAGGTTCCCACACTCGCCCACTCTCACGCCTCCTCTTACAAGGAGTGGCCAGTGGTGGGCTGAGTAAAACAAGCCACTCCAGTTCCTGCCTGGGAGTCAAGGGAACAATTCCATCTCAGTCTCTTAATCCTCAATTAGATGATTATTCGCCAATAACATCTCCCTGTAATTCAAATCAATTGTCATTTAAAGATAAATAAATGCATGAAAAACAAATAAAAATATCTGACAATATTGAACTATAACAAATAAGAGAAAGAAATGTATTATAATTTAACCTCGCCAGAGTTATTAATATTTCTGTCCTTGGAATCTAACAGAAAAGTGGAAGGAAAAGAGAGATCAAGAGAATAAATAGTTTAGAAAGAAAGCAAAGCAAAATATATTTTATGATTATGATCGCAGTCTCCTGTTGAACCTCAAAGCAATTACAGACTTAAATGAGCTATGGCCTAGTTTTCTTGCTTTGTTAAATCTGTACTAGATTCTTCTAGCACATGACCTGCTTTAAAGGAATTTCTTAGGTACTTTTGAAACCTAGATTAGTATCACAGGCCAGTTTGCCTCACTTGAGCAGTTCTGTTATGGAGACCCTGATGGCTTATCAGTAGCCAAAGAAGTCAACATGACTATCTGAACAGTTGATACACCTGTAACTGCCCAAAGGGTCCATCTTGCTCACTGCCCAGGTAGAGCTGATTTATCAAGACAGATGAATTGCAACAGTGAAGGAGTTTAATACGCATAGAGCTGGCTAAACAGGACAGTGGAGTTTTATTACTCAAATTAGTCTCCCCCAAAATTCAGAGCTAGGGTTTTTTTAAAGACAGTTTGGTGGGCAGGGGCTAGGGAGTGGGGAATACTGATTGGTTGGTGTGGCATAGGTACATGGAAAATAGTCCTTATTTGCTGAATCTGCTTCTGAGTTGGGACCACAGGATCACTGAGTCATGAGTCATGAGTCATGGAACTGGAGTCACCCAGTCATCAGAAATGCAAAAGTCTGAAAAGACATCTCAAAAGGCCAATCTTAGGTTCTGCAACAGTGATGTTATTTATAGGAGCAATTGGAAAAGTTACAAATTTTGTGACCTCTAGAACAATGGCTGGCAATTCTTTAATTACATCTAAACTTTAGCAGAATTCAGGCCCCTCTAATAATCCTAATCTTGTGGTCTTTTACTAGTTTTATAAAGGTGGTTTAGTTTTGGGAAGGGCCATTATCATTTAAACTATAAAATAAGTTTCTCTCAAAGTGGTCTTCCACCCAGGAATGGCTAAAGGCAGTTTGGAGGTTAAAGGCAAGATGGAGTTGGTTAGGTCAGATCTCTTTCACTGCCATAATTTTCTCACTGTTATAATTTTTGCAAAGGTGGTTTCACAGCCTCTGAGGAATAAGGATCGGGGATGAGGGTTAAGACTTTTATTCTATTCTTATGCTTCACAGATTTAACCTTGTCCTTTGCCCTTGAGCATTTTGATTTCTGTATCTCAGTTTGAATTTAAAACTGTCAGAGGCTGGGGGTAATAAGAAAATATTTTATTTATACAAAATGTTAGATGACTGAGTATTTTCAAAATGATGTCTTGTTTACAGAAACATACCAGATAGGGAGACAGAAATAAACGTGTTTTAAGTGCTTTATACATGCTAAGGGCTTTAAATACATTTATCTCATTTAAAAATCACAACAGTCCGGGCGCGGTGGATCACGCCTGTAATCCCAGCACTTTGGAAGGCTGAGGTGGGCGGATCACGAGGTCAGGAGATCTAGACCATCCTGGCTAACGTGGTGAAACCCCGTCTCTACTAAAAACACAAAAAAATTAGCCGGGCATTGGGACGGGCGCCTGTAGTCCCAGCAATTTGGGAGGCTGAGGCAGGAGAATGGCGTGAACCCGGGAGGCGGAGCTTGCAGTGAGCCGAGATCGCGCCGCTGCACTCCAGCCTGGGCGACAGAGGGAGACTCCGTCAAAATAAATAAATAAATAAATAAATCACAACAGAACTTTGAAGTGGATGTTGTGACTGCTTTTTCAAAAATACTCTGAAACTTAGAGAGATTCAACCACTATAAAAATATCACAGAGCTAAGGAACAGAAACAATAGATTCAAATTTAGGTCAGCCTGGATTGAAATCCATAATATTCGAATTAAATCATATTGTCACAAAACTTATGGTTTAGCAGAATGAGCTCTTTAAAAAATGTTCATTTCCAGGGGTTAGAAGTGGAGCAGGGGAAGAGATCATGCCATTCCTTTAATTTGAGATCCTTCCCAAGGACATAGAAAGTCTTGAAAGCTGTGGATTTTCATTTGAATTTTAACCTCTATAGGAAGTTGGACAAATCATTCATTTCATAGGCCTATTTTGAAAGTCACACTAGAGAAAGATCAAAATCAATAACTTTTAATTCAAGCATCCATACAAACTATTGTCTGTTTATAAGTATATATGTGTGTGTGTGCATGTATTTATATTTATACCTGATTACTAGTGAACAGACAAGTAAGCTAAATCTGCTAGCTATAAATTGAATATCTTTACTCAATTTAATTTATCAATTAAAATTTGCAACTAAGTTTATTACTTATAATATATTAGTTATAAGTATAACCTTATTAGTTATTATAAGATAATAAATATCAGTTTATTAGTTATAAGAGCAAATTAAATATATATTATCTCAAACTAAATGAAAAGCCAGAGAAGGAACAAATGTCACCTCTTCATTTGCAAAATGTGGGTACATATATCTATAAAATGGGCTAAATATAAATTTGTAATAAACAATAGCACCTAAAAATACCTGTGGTCCTCAAAAGGAAGCATCAGTGGAATATACCGTTGTTTTGAGAATAACCATGATACAGCAATTTGTCAGTAACATAATTAAATCACATGCAAAGCCAGAGACAACAGAGAAGTAATTACAATCCTAACATAATGGAGTCATTACTCTCATATCTAAACACACTTTAAAGAAATTAGGCAGTTTCTGACACACTCATAACAGAAAACTCAAAAGAAGAAACATCACAGAATGAATTAGACCAGAATAACTTTTTTCTACAACTCCATGACATTTAGCTTTTTATAGCTGTATTTGCTATGAAAATGTTTGTATTCAAATGTATAGGTTGCTAATTTGCAAGCTATAGAAAGAGAACTTTTTTTTTCTATTTTTGTATCTCTAATTTCTAGCATACAGTAGATGCCCAATAAATATCTGTTCAGTAAATGTATTATGGGGATATGTTTTTATTGAGATAAAACAATATAAGTTGTAAATAGTTCTTGAGAATAAGCATGAATTATAGGCTAATGGGTTTTAAAACTTTCAACAATTCCCTATTGCTTATTAAGTGAAGTCTGTGAAAGGATGTCTTGTGACTAGAGATGTATTTTAAGGAGAGTACACTAGTTCCAATGTGCAAAATGAATGACGAGAATGACAGTCTGAGCTACAGTGACCACTGACGAGTCTATTAGAATACCACAGCTGAAATGTATTGCAGGCCCGAATTACAGCAGTGATGGTGGAATAAGAATGATATCATTAAGGTAGAATAGGTAGGACTTGGCTACTGATTAAACATAGTAATGTTATAGACGGTGAGTCTGTTTTTGAGCTCCAGTGATCCTGAGGCTCTTGGGCCATTAAAGAAAAATGGAAGCAGAAGGAAAGTTAAGAATAGTTCTGGGGAGATAAAATTCTTTTTATTCTCGACATATATTCTGAATGACTTCTAGGCATTGCATATATATGCCTTGTTAATGCATGGTGCTATATTCCTTAAATAAAAATGATGTAATTTTGACTAATTTTCTTTTATTTTATCTGCAGTGAAGGCTGAGAATAATTATTTAGCTTCCATCTTATCCTCTCAAAAGTGTTTTCAAGTCAGCCCTTAATATTCTTTTCAGGTATTGTGTTACAAGATTTTGGGGCATAGAAGTGGTCACTTACATCTTGTTCACAGAATGCCATTATCACAGTTAATTCATAAACCCAGACCCTCTTTCAGATAGACACTTATGCAACTCTTCTTGAAAATCTTCATTTTATTCATTTGAGATGGAGGTGGGGGTGGGGGGACAGTGCAATACTGTCTATTGGATCTTCTCAGACTCAAATCATCCCTTCCTCACATAAGCTATTACTTTCCTAATTAAGGCAATACCACCTATCATATTCCCCTCTCTCAAAGCCCTTGCCACAATTGATAATTAAATTCTACATATATAATAATTCCAGTAAAGTATTTCTCCACCAGACTGTACCTTCATGAGATCATATCTGTTTTCACTCAATATTATATTTATGTTGCCCAGTGTAAGCACTGGCAAATAAAAAATGCCCAATAAATATGCAATGAATGAGTGAGAGAGGCTGGAAAATTAATCTCACTGTGGAAGAAAATTCTGAATCTGAAATACATGATTCTACTGTTCCATTTAACTCTAGGAAACTGATTTGTTTCCCTATCAGAATGTTTTGGGAAATTCAGTTTTCAGAATCAGGCTTTTGAATGAGAAAAATGTATATTACAGGAATCTCATACCCACACACACACACAGACACACACATACACACACACACACGCACACTATTTCAATAATAATATGACCTTAGAGGAAACAATATAAAACAGATAAAGAAAGGCTTTAAACATCTTAACTTCTTAACTGTGTCTTAGATCTGTTGGCAAGCTTCACAGGAATATGGAATAAATTGTTGATCTACTTATATGCATGAGATAGTTTGTTACAAACATTTATTTTTAGAGATTGTTATTTTCTAACTGCACAATAAATTACTGCTATTTGCATAATAGAATTGTTTGCTTCTTTGGTTTTCTATTCAGATTGCGATTTATTAATATTTAGTCATACTTGAGATGGATACTTTGTCATTCCATATGTTAAGTGTAAAGTATATATTCCTATTATACATTTCATTTTTCATTATTCCCAGGCAATAGATAACACATTATGCCTCTGTCCTTCAGAAAATTTTGAGGCTGGAGCTTAAATGCAAAAGTCAATAAAACAGTTCTGGAAATCTGGGTTGAAAAAATACGTGTCCTTCATAGCTTCAATGTGGCCCCTATGCAATATCTGACATAGCTAATAAATGTTTAATGGATAGACCTTCAATGAGAGGCCAAGAAATAAAAGTTACTTTTAATTTCAAGCATCTTTATAAGATTAGTAGAATAAGTACCTTATTTAACATTTTTACTGGTAAATTTACATAACTATTTTATGCTCAGTAAAGGGGTATTATTTAATGCATTTATTTAATTGAAATTAGGAAATTTTTAAGTCTTGAATTTTCTAGACACTGTGTTGAGCACAAAACTTTTTTGGAATTTAGAATTATTGTGGTTTATAGTCCCAAACTTAAGTGGATGAACATGAAAATCTCTTACTTTGAGTTCTGTGGCTTTCGCATCATTTTTTTCTCATTTTTTCTGCAAACCAAAATAATAACAAAAAAATGGAAAAGAACTTTGATACACTTAAGTATTCTTTTCAAGAAAACATGTAGATTGAAAAAGTATATCTTCAAGTGTATTCTTGCTTATATTAAATGGTGACACATATATATTGGATGCTAAACTGCAAAAAGTCTATAGAATTTCTTAGAACGCTAGAGTGAAAATCAACTGCAAGTCTTCAGAAAGAAAAGAATATTTATCAGGCTCCTCTGAAGGCTGGCAGCTCCTTCATCAAGGGATTTCTTTAGATGTTGGACAGAGTCAACACTGTTATGTAGGCCACCGTAAGTCTCAGCAGGGAACAGGAAGAACATTAAATCTCTGTTTCGCTTCTATTGGTATTTCTCCTCTTGATTCCAGGGTCCTCCACTATAAAATTTGGCTGTTATGGTTCCAGGTGTAATTCAAAAAAATCACTTTGACAACTTATATAAGTGATATGCATAGAGAATGTATCCTGTCTTCACTGTACTTTAATTTTCTTGAGGGTTTGTGCTTTACTTATCTTTATATTCTTAATATCCAATATAATGTCTAGAACTTTGAAGGTGCTTAGTAATGATAATTAAATGACTAAAACCATATTATTAGTAGTATCCTTTGACTGAACACATAAAGTATATAAAGTGTTAGCACATTATCTAAGATATAGTACTACATTCGTATTTTCTAACATGATTTAACATGTTATTTTTCTCTTTTCATGTATTTAAAAAGTAACTATCAGAAAAATTACATTATATAACAAAACACTGGACACAGAAAAAAAGTCGTGGTAGGTTTAGGCATTGCAGTATTTTGGGTTGGGTTCCAAAATATCTTTACCTACCCCATTATCATAAAAACAAATCACCTACGTATAATGTAGTATTATGTAAAGAGGCACCTCGGGGTGAGTTGGGGTTAGAAGTTAGCTACCATTGTTTAAATCAGTTTTGTCACTTGATATTTGATACTCTGGAAAAGTCACTTAACTTTTTTGAGTATCAGCTTTTTCATCTAAAAAATGGAAATCACTTCTACCTTGTAGCCTTTTGAAGATAAAGTTAATGTACATAAAATGTCAGGTACAATGTTTAATACAGGGAAAGCCCAATAAATGGCATTATGCATATTTCTTACTTGTTCCACTGTATTATTAAATGTTTAAGCTAGGAGTAGAAAGCAAATCAAAATTTAAAAAATTAACAGTAAAGTTATTTGCCGTATTTTAAAATGCATCTAAGAGGTGCGGAAGCTACCATTCTGCAAAAAAAAATTCAAAAAGTCAACTTGGCATTTACTTTGGAGGTTTGAAGAATTGTAAGTAAATTATATCTAATAATTTTAAAGTAGGCAGTTGAGTTTATGCACACACATACTTTGACCTTATTTTAATTAATTGGATATGTGTATGATATGCCCTACCAAGCTTTCTTAACAAAAGCTAGGAAAAGGGCAGTTCATACAGTGCCGGGTATAAAATGATTAAATAAAATTTTTATGAGCTGTCACAGTCCAGTGGGTAGGAAATAGTTAACGATATTCCCACAAGAATGGTATGGTTATACAGGAAATAGCATGGTGTTACACAGGAAGTGACACCATTGCCATATTTTTGTCCAAAATATTAAGCTTCCAAGTCAACAAAGAAACTATTGTCAATGCCCAAAAGAGCAGGGTTAAAATGTCTCTTCTGTCAGAGCAAAAAGGGGAAGCAAAAAAAGCACTCAGAATATAGTAGGGTAAGAAGTAAAGAATGCTGCAAATGAAAAACAAAGATTTTTCTCTGCAAAATGGAATGATAAGCAGCTATTTTAGAACTACATAATCAAGTAAGGCAAAACCTCTATAGGAATAATATGGTTAAAAGACTAAAGATAACATGAATTTTGAGCAACACTGGTAAGGCTGACCTTTCCTTCTTATGAGTCTTGACAAGAATACAGAATCCCAATGTAAACAAGCTAGAGATACCAGCAGCTCAGGACAGCAGAAGGAAATGAGGAAAACTTGGAAGCTGCAAGAAGATGAAAAAGGCAAAGCAATTCAGTCATTCGACCAAAATTAGTTAAAGTTTTTCACTGATTTTTCTTTTAGTGATAAGGGAATTAGAAAGCCTTACCAGCATCAACTAATATAATTTTATTTTTTATATACAATTATGTGTCAGATAACTGTAAGGTATAAAACACAGTTCTATATGCATTTTGGGGTTGCTGTTAAATACATTATTTTAATATTAATATTCTGAGATGAAGAACTCTGGGAAGTCACACAGAGAAGTAATCTATCTAATAGACTAAATCTGAAAAGTTACATAAAATATACTATCATCCACACAGGATAATGCTGTACTGGGCTTATTTAATATAATATGTCTATGTCTCAAAAGCTATTTGTCTGAAGAAGACATTTTCTTTAGAAATAAGGTTTAAGCATAAGTAAAATATCTTGGAAAATCTCCAAAACCTTACCTTTTTAAAGTTACTTGCCAAAATCCTGCAGTAGTTCCTATTGAACCAAAGTAACAGGATTTTCTTTTTTTTTTTATATTCTTCCAAATGGAGTTATTCTTCTATATGATAGTCTTCTTTTACACTAAACTTAGAAATTAAGGTTCTACTAAAAAATGCTGCCATGGGGCTTTGGCATTATTAGCTAAATATTCTGAAGGTTTCCTTCAATAGAAAATATTGTGGTGATATACAGAAACCAATAAACATAGAAGATTGAAGAAATAATTCTGATGGTGTAACAATGTGTTAGCTTATTATCGTGGGCTGAAGTTCATTTTCAGCTACTCATTTGTGCTGTATGAAACCGTGGCTCTCTCCTGAGCTCCTTGGCACAAATCCATAGAGAAAATAAAAATTCAACTGCATACTCTGTTAGCTAGAAACTCACGCCATTTCTTGTTCAACAGGCATCAGAGCAAAAAGAGTCAATAAAGCCAAATGGCTGACCAATTCAGTGAACTAACTGAATTTTTATGCTACTATTAACAACTTCCATTGTTTTAATAAAATTTATAGAGTGACTCATATACCAGGACTTGCCCTCGCCTCTGAACATCATAAGGTCCCTGTGCACAATGAGCTTCCAGTCTAGTGGGAAAGAAAATAAAGCAATAAATGGCAATTATAATGCATTATCACAGAGGACATTAGAAGGCGGGCATGAAACTTAGTTGTGAGGAAGGTGGTTAGAGAAGCTATTCTAGGGAGTCTGAAGGAGGATTGGTGTATTTCAAGGAATCTTTAAGAACATAAGAGTGCATATGTTGATCTCTGTCTGAGGAAAAGCCAGGAGGGAGAGAGAACTGAAAGAATTCATTGCAAGGAATGTATGTGTTAAAGGTGATGGATGTAGGCAGAAGTAGAGGTGGGAAAAGGGATATTCATAGCAAAGTCCTTCCACAACTAGGTCCTTGGTTTCTGTCATTTTCTCCTTTTCTTTTCTTTTTTACTTTCTCTTATCTTTTCTTTTCTTTCTGTCATTATTTTTTTCAGACAGGGTATCTCACTTTGTAACCCAGGCTGGAATACAGTGGCACGATCTTGGCTCACTGCAGCTCAACCTCCTGCCTCAGCCCTCCAAGTATTTGGGACTACAGGTGCACTCCCCCACTTCCCACTATTGTTTTTTATTTCTGTAGAGATGAGGTCTCACCATGTTGCCCAGGCTGGTTTTGAACCCCTGAGCTCAACTGATCCACCCACATCGGCCTCCCAAAGTGTTGTGATTACAGTCATGAGCCACTGTGACCAGCCAGGCCCTGTTTTTTATGTCAGTCTGTAGGAAGTTTTTGAGAAGCCATGAGGGTGACTTCCCAAAACTTTTAAGTAATCTCCAGTTTAATGTAATAAAACTTTCTTTCTCACTCAGGTTCCAAATCTAGCAGAGATTTGGATAGGTGGGCATTGCTCATGTGTGGTGGATGGATGTACACTCTCTACAGTAGTGCACCGTCATCAGTGATTTACTCCCCTTGAGTAGGTGAGACCTGTGATTTTCAACTAACCAACTGAATGTGGCAAAGGGCACAGTATGTCACTCAGAGTGTGATGTTATATTACCAATCAAGAAACTCCACTTTGCTAACAGATTTGCTTTCTAGAAGCTCTATTTGCTGGCTTGATGAAAGAAGTGTCCATATTGGGAGAGCCTATCTGAGAGGAACTGCTGGCAGCCTCTAGGGTCTGACAATGTCCCCTACCCAATAGCCCTCAAGAAGCTTGGACATTTAGTTCTACAGCTACAAGGAAGATGAGTTTTGCCAAAAACCTGTATGAGCTTGGAAATGGATTATTCCTCACTTAAGCCTCCAGATGACAATTCAGCCTGGCTGACACCTTGGTTCAAGATGATTGAGACCCTAACTAGAGGGTTCAGTTAAGCCATGCTTAGACTCTTGACTCATAGAAACTGGGAAATTATAAATGTGGCTTGTTTTAAACCACACACAAAAGGAAAGGCATATAGTAGTTCATGCCATTGACTCTTTTCGTTTTTGTTGTTGTTGTTTTTCTTTTCTTTCTTCTTTTTTAACATGGAGTCTCGCTCTATCCCCCAGGCTGGAGTGTAGTAGCATGATCTTGATCACTGCAACCTCTGCCTCCCGGGATCAAGTGATTCTCCTGCCTCAGCGTTCGGAATAGCTGGGATTACAGGCAACCACTACCATGCCTGGCTAATTTTTGTATTTTTAGTAGAGACGAGGTTTCACCATCTTGGCCAGGCTGATCTTGACCTCCTGACCTCTAGTGATCCACCCACCTTCGCCTCCCAAAGTGCTGGGATTACAGGCTTGTGGCACCACACCTGGCCAAATACCATAGAATCTTGATATATCCATTCATAAGCAACAAACATTGTTTTAGCTCACATTTCACTCATCAGAGTAAGTCACATGGTCATGTTTAACATCAAAAAGATGAGTAAATACATTCCCACGATGTACCTAAAAAAGGAAAAGAACTAGAATATTTGTAAATAGCAGCAATGACAACCACATACATTTTATAGTGTGTAATTTTCTGTTAAATAAGACATAAACTGTGGAAATAAAATATTTTAAATTAATATAACAGAAAGAAGAGTTGCTAGTGAAAAAACAGCATTTTTGGAAACCACACTTCTTCACTGAATCTGTGAATCTCTCCGGAATAGGTACAGTCAATAAATATTATTTTATCAGGAAATCATCATCAAAACCAAACATTTGTTAAGCACGGTAAACACATTTAAAAATAAATATTTTAAAAGTAAATAGTAGAATGGCAACACTCATCAGAACCAATTACTGTATTTTTCCATTATCTCAGTAAACACATCAAACACCATTTTTAAAAAGCATTGTCAAACTTAGATCTTCATTTCTTTCTTAAACACATATCCCTAGATATCATACAACAAATGCTTTCAGCAAATGAAAGAAAATGCCTCTTTTGTAAAATAAATCAATTTTTGGTTCCCTAGATACCAGTCAATTTGACCTTCTAATTCAGTACTATTTTTTTAACCTGACTTTCAGGAAACAGTTTGAACCTGACAAGTGCATAGACCTGATGTTTAGTCTCTATCCAACTAAACCCATATAAATATTCTGACCTGATCGTGGTTTTCCATTCTGACTCAAGAAAGCTAGAATGACATAGTATCTATCCTCTCAATAAAAAAGGGTCACTTATCTCACACTTGCCTGAACTCAAGAATAGAGCTGAAACATACTTAGTCAAGGTTTAGGGAAAGAACATTTTTTTCATTTCCAAGATCAACGTGGTAAAATTGGGATAAACACATCCTCTATGAAAGAACTCAAATGTATTTATAGGAAGGTATGTAGGATGAGAACAGCTTGATGCCTACTTTCACTCCTTTTAGTATAGAATCTGCTTAATTATAAAAAAAAAGAAAATCACCAACTTATGCAGATATTTGTACTGATGGTTCAAGGATGAATTTTACATAAGCTGTACTCGTATGAAGTTCACAGTCCACAGGGGGATGTTTTTCACGTAATATTATAAATTTAAAATTTTTTA
The DNA here is from genome assembly GCF_000001405.40 of Homo sapiens. Lineage (NCBI taxonomy): Eukaryota > Metazoa > Chordata > Mammalia > Primates > Hominidae > Homo > Homo sapiens. The sequence continues at coordinate 61,284,935 of NC_000016.10, read as the reverse complement.
ATGTGTAAGTATGGGGATAGAGGCAAAATTTAATAAAGAAGCAATAATTCTGGGACTTAGGGTGGAAGGCTCATCATAGAGTAATTTCTGAAAAATGTTAAAATAATAAATACAATTATTACAATATTCTTTTAAAACCAGTATTTTTGAGCAGCTAGTATTTCCACGAACTTTACCAAAAGGATTAATGAATTTAGAGTTGTTATTATCATAACAATCCTATATAAGTAAATTTACCAACACAAATAAAGAGACTGAGGCTTAGAGAAATCAAGTTATTCAAGGTAACTAATAGATAATAATAAGCTAATAAACTTATTATTATCTAATAAGCTAATATGAGCAGCTAATAAGTGGTAGAGTCAGTTTTCCAGAAGGTGAGATTACATCACTGTCCTGACTCCAAAAGTGTGAATGTGAATCTTCAAGGGACAATGCAGAACATTCCAACATATAGGTGAGCAGAGGTAGTAAATACCTTGGTAGAAGCCTAAAATGGTTGGAGGTAAGAATAAAATTAAGAAAGTAGAATTATGTTCATAGGCAAAGCTGAGTTCATTGACGGTCTTATAAAGCCATGGTTATATAATTCAGCTTTGATCAGGAAATTGTGAATAAATAGTGCTGAATTATAAAGCTAGAATAAGGGAAACATCTGTTACAGCAAGAACTTAAAATTTAGAGGAAGGTAATATATATAAAGATAAAGAATTTAGCCTCAATTACTAATTTAAAAACTTCTAGAAAGAGTAATTTAAGGTTTGTTGAGGAAAAAAAGTAGCAGAGAATACAGGTGGGAAAATACAGAAGGAAGAGAGAACGGAGGAAGTCTTTTGAATTATTTGCATATTTTCAAAAAGAGAATATGCCTCCATGATGAAACCCCAGATACTCTTCTTTGAGCTCTGGATGAGGAAAATTTAACTTAGCTCCTAGGTAATCATTCATTACCATTGGGACTTTGGTGACTGTATCCACAATAAAGTACATTTTCCTGTTATTAAATTCTAATGAAAATCACACCTAAAACAGAGTCCCAAAATGCATGTAGCAAAACTGACGTAACTGAAGGGAAAAATAATTTAATACTAATAGTAGAGATTTCAGTTTCCTACTTTCAATAATAAATAGAACAAAGAAATAGAAGATTTGATTAACACTAGAAACCAACTAGATCAAAAGGCCTCTATAAGACACTCCAGTCAACAACAATAGAATATACATTATTCTGAGTTCACATGGAGCACCCTCCAGACAGACCATCTGCTAGGCTACAAAATAAGTCTCAATAAATTTAAAATGATTGAAATTATATAAAATATGTTCTCTGAACACACATACACACATGAACTAGAAATTAATAACAGAAGACAATTTAGGAAATTCACAAACGTGGAAATGAAACACACACTCCTAAATAATAAATAGATTGAAGAAGAAATCACAAAGGAAATTAGAAAATACTGTGAGAGGAATGAAAATAAAAATGCAATATACCAAAATTTGTGGGATACAGCCAAAGAAGTGCTTAGAGGAAAATGCATAGCTCTAAGCACTTATATTACAAAAGAATAAAAATAAAAGATCTGTAGTCAATAACCTAACATTTCAGTGAAGATGGAAAAAGAAAAGTAAACTAAATCCAAAACAATAAAAAGAAAGGAAACCATAGATATTAGAGTGGATATAAATAAAATAAAAAATAGAAGAACAACAGAGACAATTTAAAAAGCCTAAAAGTTTGTACACTGAAGAAAAAAAAAATGGATAAATCTCTAGCTAGATTGCACCCCCCAAAACAACAACAACAACAACAACAAAGAAAAACAAAGAAAAAGGAGGAGGGGCAGTGGAAAGGCAAAAGAGAGATCTCAGATTACTAAGGTCAGGAATAACAGGAGACATTATCACTGGAGGACTATAAAAGAAATTATAAGAGAATATTGTGAATAATTATAAGCCAACAAATTTGATAACCTAGGTGAAATGAAAAATTTCTAGAGACACAGCTGCTGAGTCAAGAAATACTTGTTTTTTAAATTTGAATAAACCTATAATAAACCTATAATATGTAAGGATATCGAAACTTTTCACAAAGTAAAACAGACTCAGATGGTTTCTCTTGCGAATTCTATCAGACATGTATAAAAGAACTAAAACCATTTCTTTACAAACTTTTCTATAAAGTGGAAGAAAATGGAAAATATTAAGCTAATACCAAAACCAGACAAAGATATCTCAAGAAAACTCCAGAGCAATATCCTTTACACGTATTGATGCAAAACTCATCAGCGAAATACTCACACCAAATTCAGCAACATAACACCATTATACCTATGGCTAAGCGGGATTTATTTTTGGAATGCACAAGAAAATACATTCAATATATGAATATAAATCAATGTGATTCACAGTATTAATGGAATAAAGGACCAAAAGAAAAACACATAGATACCTCACTAACTGCAGAAAACGTACTTAAAAATCCAATACGTTTTCATGATTAAAAAAAAAAAGTCAACAAACTACAAATAGTGGTCAGTTTTCTCAACCTGATAAAGCACATATTTAAAACACCCATAGCTAATAACATCATAACTAATGGTGAAAGACATAAAGCTTTCCCCTGAGTCAGAACAAAGCAAAGGTATTTGCTTCCACACCTCTATTTAACATTGTACTGAGAATTTAGTTAAGGCAAAAAGACAGATAAATAAATAAATAACCAATTTCCATACTGGAAAAAAAAGAAAGAAGTAAGACTACCCTCATTTACAGATAACGTGATCTTGTATGTCTAAAACTCTAAGGAATATACACACGCACAAACACAAATTATTGGAATTAATAAACAAATTTAGTGAGGTTGAAGAATACAAGATCAATATAAAAACTTAAATAGATTTTATGTATCAGCAATGAACCCATCTGAAAATAAAATTAAGAAAACAATTTCTTTACCCTAGCATCAAAAGTAATAACATACATAGGATATTAATTTTACAAAATAAGTTCAAGAACTGAAACTATAAAATGCTGTTGAAAAAAACTAGAGACATAAATAAATGGAAGACATCATGTTCATGAATTGGAAGATAATACAGTTAGGATAACAATACTATCCAGATTTATCTACAAATTCAACATAATCTTTATCAAAATTCTAGCCGTCCTTTCACAGAAATTAATAAGCTGATCCTCAAATTCACCTGGAAATGCAAGGGACACAGAATAGATGAAATCTAAAAACTAATAAAGTTGGAGGACTTGTACTTTCCAATACTGAAATTTACTGCAAAGCTACAGTAATCAAGACAGTATAGTACTGACCACATGGATATAACCATAGATGAATGGAGTAGAATTGGGAGTCCTGAAATAAACCAACACCTCTGTGGCCAGTTGATTTTAGACAACCGTGCCAAGACTGTTCAATGGGGAAAGAAATGTCCTTATAACCAGTGGTGCTGGTGCAGTTGAATATTCACATGCCAAAAAAAAAAAAATGAAATTGGACCTCTTACTGACACTCTACCGTAATTAATTAAAACTGAAAGATAGGACTAAATGCAAGAGCTGAAACTGTAATACCCTTAAAAAAAAAAACCTAGGAGTGGATCTTCATGATCTTGGCTTGACAAAACCCTCTCAGATAAAACAACATTTGATTTCATCATAATTAAAAACTTTTGTGCTTCGAAAGGCACTATCAAGAAAGTAAAAACCAACTCACGGAATGGGAAAAATATTTATAAACAATATTCCCATAAAGGTATAGTATTCAAAATATATAAAGAACCATTACAACATAACAGTAAAAGGAAAAACTAATTACAATTGGGAAAAGGATCTGAGTAAGCAACTTTACAAAGAAGACATAAAATGGCTAATAAACACATGATGCCCATCATTAGTAATTTGGGAAATGCAAATCAAAATAATCCATCACTTCACACTCACTAGTATAGCTAAATGAAAAAAAAAGGTCAATAAATCTTGACTAAGGTGTGGAGAATATGGAACCCTCATACATTGCTGGTAGGAATATAAAATAATGCAACTACTTTGGAGAACAGTTTGCTAATTGCTCAAAATGTTAAACAGAGATTTATCATGTGACCCAGATATACCACTCCTAGGTATATGCCTAAGGAAACTGAAAACATAATCTTTCTGGGGTGATAAAACTGTTATGGAAATAGGTAATAGTGATGATTGGATAATTTTTTGAGTATAGAATAAAAACTTTGAATAGCTGCTTTAAAAGTGTGAATTTTATGGTATGAATATTACATCACCACATGTGATTTATATGTAAGTTTAAAATTTTTAAACAGAAAAAAAACACCCCGACTACAGAAAACTATGTGCATGAACATTTGGTTATTTTAATGCTGGAAACTGTACATACCAAAGTCTCTAAAAGTTAATTGGTTAAACAAATTACACAAGAACATAATGGAATATTACTTGAAAATTGTATTGTTAATTGAAAAGCACATTTATAAAGATCATAACAAATGCTTGACACATATTTAAGTGTGACCTCAAGTGGAAAAGACTAAATACAAAACTATACTCACTTTAACTAAAATAATTTCATTAAACATGCATACAGAAAAGGGAAGAAAGTCTAATGAGAATCTGAGTTTTCTTATATTTTTGCAGTGGAAGTTTAAATCTCAAGTTTAGAAATAAGAGAGATAACGTCAAAAAAATTAAGTACGTTGCTCATGGGCTCAAAAGAGAAAGAGCAGAGATGAATCTAGAATGCAAACATTTCTGATTCCGTCTCTGTAAATACTTAATAGGTATATTATGCCAATGCTTCTTCAGTTATCTGTGAAAAATAACAAGTTTTTCCCTTTTCCAACATGCCATGGATAGTACATGATCCAAGTGTCATAACTAATATTCAGCTTGCAATGTGTGTCCCACAAAACCAAACTGCAATAGACTCTGCTGAATGCAACCCTATTGACACTTACCTAGATGGAACAGCAATGTCATATTGCTGTAAAAGTTTCTGAATTCTTACTCACAAGTTTTATACTTATTTCATTGATTCTGGTAACCAAATATTTATGGAGAAGCAACTGGTCTATGAGTCATATTTTGGGTTGCAGTGGTTGAGTTAATTAAAAAGAAAGAGAGAGAGGAAAAACATTAAAAATGGTCTAGAATATGGAGTTTAGAAAATATTCATGTTGAACAGAAACTAAAATAACCAACTAAAATTGACAACAGTTTTATAAAAAACTATCAGTTCAATTGTTTAGTAAACACATTATAAGCTCAAGGATGCTATTTAAACAGAGTTTCAGAGCCACCAATGGAATCATTCTGAATAGCCAAAATATATAAATTACTATAGCATTTACACTTTTTAATATCATTTTTAATTGAAATTGAAAAGTTCTCTGCCCATAGACGTAAAACATGCTTTCATCAAAATTTTGTTTTTTTTTGCTAGGGCAAATGACTATAAAACATAATTTAAAGAATGATCACCAATGATTATTATCAGAAAAGAGAAATGAATAAGTTGATTAACGTCCTAATGTTATTCAACGATATCATTAAGGAACCAGAGATTGTGATGCTTCATAAAAGGAATATAAATATGAGTAACTTCAATGTGGCATATGTTTATATAATATATCCTCTTCTCATAAGTCTTTACTGAGCTTTTAGTAAGCAAACTGTATACTGACAAAAGGCTATTTTTGTCTGTGTTGCCAGAATGGGACACTGTTACTTAAAAGTGAAATATTTAAGTGTAAGGTCAATTATTTGCACTTCTGCTTCAATTAAGAGGACATGGCCTCATAGTTTAATTTACAACGGCTAGTTAAACTCCCTAGAAAATACTTCAGAGTGCCTAAATAGCAATCAGTCTTTGGAAAAAAAAAAAGAAAATGAAGGGGCGGGCAACAAAGTTCAAATAACTGTCAGATTAGTACACACATCACACATATTGTTCTATTAACTCATTAACAAAGTACTTAGGAAAAAGAAATGATGGTGTTTTCTAAACTGTTTAAACATTCTAGGAAAAACGTGTAAGAATTATGTTAAATGCACATCATAGTAATGAGGAAAACGATGCTCTGGACTGCTTCATGTAGGATTCAGGAAAAGGGATGCTTTCCATCTTTTTTGTTTAGATTTGATGCTATTGTTTTCCCCATCTCAATGTTTTGATAGTTTAACTGGCTTGTGATTCAAAGGAGAAAAGAAAAAGTATTAAAAATAATTATAACTACCATTTGAATGGCACCTCTCATGAACTAGATATTGAGATAAATAATCTGCACCAAAATTTAAAAAGTCTTAAAAATTATGTAAACTATGGTTTATAGGATTAAAAGCATATATAAAAATCTGAAGGTGAGAATAGAACAACTATGAGAAACACTAGTATAGATGATGTCTGAGATCCCTTTGAGATCTCAACAGCACCTTGAACCCTAAAGCTTTCTTCGGTTTTACATGGATGACACCATCTAAGACCCATTTCATAGTGCAGTTATATGGGTACTTCTGTAGCACTGGCCAAAATATCCATATAAGGACGCCTGAAAATATCTAAGAAGGAATGAATGAATGAGTGTGACCTTTTTGGCCTCATCTATTGAAAGCGTCTCTTCAGAATTTAAGCAGTGGAGGCATAACTGACCAGAGAAGTCTCTTCTTTGGAAGTATTCAAGTGCTTTGGTGTGGATTTTACGTCAAACTGCATAAATCATGAAGCTCCCTTCCTTGGTACTGAAACCTTTTATTGATTTAAGGGCTTGCTTTAGGGGGAAATGTCACAGTGTCAAGACAATTGTGGGTTTCATGTGAAAAGTGATTATTTACTTTGTTCCTTGGGAAACAATGTCATGTTGCTATGACAACTGCCATAAGACTGTTTCTCACTTTAGATATGTACACACACACACACACACACACACGCACACATGCACACAGACTGTTGCATGCATTTTCATAACCATGCAGCCAACTTGAAGAGCATTTGTATTCCTAGGTAGGTCACAAAAAAAACTAGACAACAGGAAAATCATGGAACAAGAATTGTTTGTTTGTTCTTCTAAATATAAATTGATCCTACAAGGTTTCAAGATAAATTTCCTTAACGTGGGTATTAGCCATTCAAACATAAGAGTTTAGAAAATAAGTGTTGAACTAGGTAACCTAATAAGCTTAATATTCACATTGACTTTGGAATCCTACTTGAAAAATGACTAGGGTGCTGAGCCTTGAATGAAAAAAAAGATTAAGTTTAAAATCACTGAAGGATTTAAGATTCTTCAAAAGTCATCTTTTGATATTTTTAATTTGAATTGTAACACACTGTAATCAAAATGTGTACACTAATAATTTTTATGTATCCTAAAATTACCCATATGTAGGCTTACCAATTAATAATTCATTAATTAATTTGCCTTTATACTAAAGTAGACTGATAAGAAAATTGAAAAGTATTACTTATCAAAAAGATAATGCATAACTTGCTGCATGTATTTACCTCAAACATCATCTTTTTATGGAACGACTATTAAATTTTTAACACATTAAGAAATACTGCAATCTATTTTACAGCACTGTCAACAAGTGTTAACTTGATTATTTTGCCCAGAGATATGGAACTCATCACTTCCAAGGAATATTGTTCTTTAAATAAATAGTCTATTCAAATAAAGTACAGTACACATTACATCTTAAATTAAAAATCACATTATCTCCCTTTAAGATCTTCTTCTTCAATGTAACTATCTCTTTCAAAGACAGTTTTTCTGTTTTTTGTGTGTGTGTGTGTGCTTGTGTCTTCAAAAAGTTTGTGCTATGGCCATGCTAAAGTCTAAGAATAAAAAACTATGTAAAAACAGACTATGTTGTTGAAGCATCTATTTTCTGGTGAGGATAAGAAAAACCTTTTCGGCCGGGCGCGGTGGCTCACGCCTGTAATCCCAGCACTTTGGGAGGCCGAGGCGGGTGGATCACGAGGTCAGGAGATCGAGACCATCCTGGCTAACAAGGTGAAACCCCGTCTCTACTAAAAATACAAAAAATTAGCCGGGCGCGGTGGCAGGCGCCTGTAGTCCCAGCTACTCGGGAGGCTGAGGCAGGAGAATGGCGTGAACCCGGGAAGCGGAGCTTGCAGTGAGCCGAGATTGCGCCACTGCAGTCCGCAGTCCGGCCTGGGCGACAGAGCGAGACTCCGTCTCAAAAAAAAAAAAAAAAAAAAAAAAAAAACCTTTTCATGAATACAGGTAGAATATGCAGTAGGACCAAAATAAAGTAGTCATAAACTTGACTGGTGATTCTTTTTTGTTAATCATAAAGTGGAGACAGAATTTGTGTTGATATGAGGAATAAAAGTTTGTCATGGCCAGGTGTAGGGGCTCACACCTGTAATCCCAAGACTTTGAGTGTCTGTGGCAGAGGATCACTTGAGTCCAGGAGTTTGACACCAGCCTGGGCAACAGAGCAAGACCCCATCTCTACCAAAAGCACAAAACAACTAGCCAGGCATGATGGTGCACACCAGTAGTCCCAGCTACTCAGGAGGCTAAGATAGTAGGATTGCTTGAGCCCCCAGGAGGTCGAGGCTACAGTGCTATTGTGCTACTGCACTCCAGGCTGGATGACAGAGTGGGACCCTGTCTTCAAAAAAAAAAAAGCCATATAAACCGTGGTAGAAAACTTTTCCAAGCATAGAAGCAGCATAAATAAAGGTGCAGAGGTGAGGAGGTGAGAGAGAGCCCAGTCTATGTGGAACAGCTAAAGCACCAGGTGTGAGTAAGACAATGGGGCAACTTGGTAGGTAGTGAGGCTCATCCGGGAGGGAGGAAGAAAGAGAGCAAAGCTGCAGTTTCTTAGGCGATATATCCCAGTGTTATCTTGTAGGCAGAGGAGTCCTTGACATGATATAAATCATGATTCAAATATGATTTAGACAAAGAAATTTGACAAAAACATCTGCAATGGAATAGAGAGTTTTAAAACTGACGAAAGGAGAATAAAGGAAATAGTTCAGGCTAGAATTAAATAATGTGCCGAACTGGCATAGTGGGAAGAAGATTGGAAGCTAGTAGGAAGACAGAAATGACAAGATTTCATCACTTTTCATGTGTATGGCTAAGAAAAGATGAGTATCCAGCTTTACTGGAATAGTTTTTACTGGAAAAACTGGAAGAGGAAGGGAAGAGGTGAAGATGAGTCTGTATGGGGGAATGTTAAGTTTAAATGTGGGGGAAGGATGTGAGGTAGATATAGAGGTTAACCTTATGGGAAATGTGGGACCTGGAAGTGTGATTTAGAAAAAAACACTACTTACATATTATTTCAACCATTGTGGAAGACAGTGTGGTGATTCCTCAACGATCTAGAACCAGAAATACCATTTGACCGAACAATCCCATTACTGGCCATATACCCAAATGATTATAAATCATTCTACTATAAAGACACATTCACACATATGTTTATTGTGGCACTATTTACAATAGCAAAGACTTGGAACAAACCCAAATGCCCACAGCCATAAAACAGGATGAGTTCATGTCCTTTGCAGGGACATGTATGAAGCTGGAAACCATCATTCTCAGCAAACTAACACAGGAACAGAAAACCAAACACTGCATGTTCTCATTCATAAGTGGGTGCTGAACAATGAGAACACATGGACACAGGGAGGGGAACATCACACACCAGGGCCTGTCGGGGTGTGGGGGGCAAGAAGAGGGAGAGCATCAGGACAAATACCTAATGCATGCGGGGCTTAAAACCTAGAGGACAGGTTGATGGGTGCAGCAAACCACCATGGCACGTATAGTATACCTATGTAATAAACCTGCACATTCGGCACATGTATCCCAGAACTTAAAGTATAATATTAAAAAAACAAATAAAAATAAAAAAAACCCTTTCTCCTCCTTGAGAACTGGCATATTGTTTTGAACCTTTCACAGGCAGCAGCTTGCAACCCAGATCTGCCCTGGGTCCCAGGCTGCCATTAACTCCTTTCTCAGAGAGTTGGTTTCCACAGCCCCTACAGAGCAGAGCAGGCTCTGAGACAACATCTCTTGGCCTGCCGCTAACTGAACTGAGGTGAACCTTTTCCCTCATTGAATCCACAGAATCTCTGTCTTGATGATTTATACCAAAAGACTGAGAAAGCTGGAAGCTGAGCCACGTTAACATGGGAGCCCTAAGTGAGGGTCCATGAACTTGGCTTGCTGAGGTCTTTGAAACTGCCCTGGCTCTGCCATTCCTATGTCTACAAAGACACTGTGGCTTTTTTGCAGATGATGAGTCCTGTATCCAAAACCAACTTGAGAAGATTCGGCTCCTTAGTACCAAAATTGCTATCTAAGAAATGCTAAATCTTAGCGAGAACATACATCAGACTCACGTGGGTATTTCTGCTCCCTACTCCATACCATGGGGAGGAGTCTCCACAGCCTGCCCTCAACCCATCAATGTTCCTGCCCTCCAGCCAAAGGCAGGAAATGACTACCCCGTGGGGCAGGGGTGCGGACATGGGAAGGCAGTGGGGACCAGTCCACAGACTGCTACCTACCCACAATCCATCACTGGTCATCAACAAGAAGAGCACAGAAACAGTGTTGGGAACTACTATGACAATTTCTCAGATCAATTTAATATCTGCAAAATATAACAATAAGAAATTAGAGCTTGTGTTTTGAAAAAAAAACACTACTTAGATATTAAAGATTCGGTGTATCAGTTTGACAAGAGAATAGCACTTCAAGAATGTTAAGGTAACAACTATTTAAAGGAAGTTAATACAAAGATAAGGCAAAAGAGTGAATTCCAGCAACAGGTTTACTATTAAAATTTCTGGTTACTCCTTTTAAAATAGAACTGAGGGCTTGATGGACAAATTAAAGGATTTCTAAAAAACAAACAAATAAACAACAAACAAAAAACCCCTGATGTTAGATAGTTATCTGGGGATTCATGGGGGCAGTTTCAGAGGAGTCAGGGTGTAGGATGGCCAAAAACAGACGGAGCAAATGAAAGTAGAAGATTCCTTCTAAATGCTTGCCTCAAGTTTTAAGATGAGTTAATGACTGGAAAAGAGCCTCCACTGACAACAGATTGTGTTTCTGCATCTAAAAAGAGCATTGTCCAGAAAAACAATGCAATATTCCACAGTTATTTCACCACCTGGCGCAGACTACATGGAAGAAGTATCTCCAATAAAAGCAGCATTTTCCTGTTTTTATCCCAAATTCATTATTCTCCTGTCTCTCAACCCGATGTGGTTTGAATGCTGTCACATGTTGAAATGTGATTACCAATGTTGGAGGTGGGGCCTGGTTGGAGGTGACTGAATCATGGGGGCTGATCATTCATGAATGCCTTAGGACCATCCCCTTGATACGTGAGTTCTTGCTTTGAGTTCACGTGACATCTGGTTGTTTAAAAGAGCATGACACCTCTCCCCTCTCTCTTTCTTGCTCCTGCTCTTGCCATGTGATACCACCTGCTTTCCGTTTGGCTTCCGTCTGACTGGAAGCTTCCTGAGGTCACCAGAAGCCTCACCAGAAGGAGAGTGATGCTGCTAAGCTTCTTACGCAGCCTGCAGAACCGTGAGCCAATTAAACCTCTTTTCTTTATGTTACCCAGCTTCAGGTATTTCTTTATAAAACACCAAGAATGGGCTTACACACAATCCCATATCCTGTGGTTTAAGCATCACTGTGAAGAAAGTCACAAAGCTGTTGGGAAATACATAAGGAGATCAAACATGAAACTGATAACTTTAATTTAAATGAGCTTTTTACTAAAATTGTTTGAACATGTGACTCTTTTCTCATGACAACGTTGCCAACTAATAGTCTGGGAAATATTCTTTAAAAAAGGTTTGTCTACGTACAACAATAGATGATACCTATGTAAACAGCAATTTGTCACACAAAGGATAACAAAATGCTACTTAATTTTTTCTCTATTTTCCATAAATTTATTTTAATACACTTCAGTTTCAAGAGAGTAAACATTCCCATTATAGCAGTACTTATCAGAGCCTTTACCATCTGACTGTCCATGAGTAAATGCTTCAATATATTACCTCCCATTTGAGATTCACAAACAAATGTGACCATCATATCTTGTTTATTTGTTCACTTGTGTTTGTTGTTGCAGTTCAGTATATTGTAGCCTGGGTATTTTGTGGTGTACATTTGGGGAATTATAAGAGGGACTGTACAGAACCTACTGTCTACCAGACATTATGGTAATCATTTTTCATATCACAGTATATTTTTCTTCTAATAACTCTATGAATTATGTTATTATTATCAACATTTTGCAATTAAGGAATGGAGTTTTTAGAAGACTAACTCGTGTGCACCAGGCCAATCAGGTAGATTGGGGCAAGAGAAACCTGACTCAGAAGCACATATTCTTAAACATGATTCTTTACCATCTCTCATTTGTTCATCCTGAGAGATGTTGAAAAGTTGCTCAATAACTGTTAATTCCCAGAATAACTAATTTGCTCTATTGTGGTCATGTTTTGTTCATTTTTAGCCTCATAAGAAAGTCAATTGGCTTATACTGCTGATGCTTTATCGAGTTCTGAGCATTATTACAAAATGATTTTGAAACTGTAGTTACAAAGAAATCTTTGTTAAATGAGTTTCCCACTTGTCAGAAATGACTTTGGATACAGTACACAGTTTTTAGAGTTTTCTTAACTCTTTTGCATTATATAAATTCAATTTCACATTTACAAAGTATTCCAGATAGTACTTTCTACAGTGAATATTACATATATGGGCTTGTTAAAACCACTTGTCCTTCAATTTTTTTACCTCCCCCTAAAGAAAATTATAAACCTGTAGTTATGACTGCCTGTTGAGTTATATGCTGTGGAATTCCACAATAACCGTGTTATTCTTTCCCCACAAGATATTTCTATGCAATACAGTGTATCTGTATATTATTCTTACAATGCAAAATCCTATTAAAGTCAATGGTGCATGTATCCATTTCATTTCAATGTGACTTTGTATAACAAAAATAAAATATAGTGAGGAGAATACATAATGAGTTGCCTGCCAGAACTATTCGAAGTACAATTAAATAACTGAGGAAGTGAGAAATTACCTTGGTACAAAAGATGTATCCACAAATAGATTACTGCTAATTTAGGGTATGCCCCAAATTATACACAATTGAAGACTTCCTTAGTCTGCAAGGTATCAAAATACCCACAGGGATGATTAATAATATCCCCCTTCCCGGAAGACAAATGTCAAAATACACTACTCATTTTTCTCTTAGCTTCTTGACAATTACTGTGCATCCCTATATGACAAGAACTGTGGAATGTGTGTCATGAGCTGTACGTTATTTTTTAAATGAAATACATTCTCCTTTACACTGCAATAAAAATTCAATAATTAGCTGAGTATATTTGTTAGTGGTTTCAGAATATTTTTCCATTCTTTCCAACTATATTTTGCCTATGATCACATAGAATTGAAAATATTTTAATATTGAAGTTTGGGTTTTCCTAGACTGTCAGTTATTTCTAGTGAATGAATTCTATTGAAAAGGGGTGTGGTATATAACAGGAAAGGATATGACTTCATATGTGAAACAAAACAAATATTATAGACAGTTTACAATGAAGTACTGATATCTATTTTGGGTTGAATCACCTAATTTTGAAATATAATTTTATTCCTTCATTTATTTAAAGAAAATCTAGCAAGTATCATTTACATGTCCTACCCCATGATGTTCCATTAAGAAAATCTGCTTTCTAGGTCAATACATTCCTAGCCCATGCTCCTTTCATTAAATTATTTTCAACAAATCTATAGCACTTTTTTATCCATTGATTACCTTCCCAAGCATCAGAGTTCACTCAAAGAACTTGGGATTTGAAATCAGAAAGACTTAGGTAACAACCCCATGTGAAATATTTTTATGCTGCTTGACCTTGTGTAATTTAGCCCCTCTGAACTTTAGCACCTTTATATGTGTAAAAGTTGTTAATGTTTATCCTGCAAGCTATTTCTTAAGATAACAGCTAAAGGAGATGAATATAAAGCATTGGCTCATAGTAGAAACTCCATAAATATTAGTTACTTTTCCTTTCTTCAATTTGCAATACTAATTGGATCTTATGTTTTACAGTACTTTCTCAATGAAACAGTAATCATGTTGAAAATTAGGATTATTCATATTCCCTTTATTTGTTATCATCTGTTAGGTTGAACATCTTAGCTTCAGCTGCTTCATCATTTCTGGATAGTCTTGGTATGAGTTTTCTTTGTTTAATTCCATATTCCAGCCCAAGCAGTCTCTTCATCCCAACAAAATCTTAGCACTATTTTAAAATGTGGATGACATAGCACCACTTACATGAAATCTTCAGTAACATCCCAATAGGTTGTAATATTTCCTCTTTGAACTCAGAGAAGCAAGTCATTGTAATAAAAAGAAAGAGGTAAAATCTGTAGTTCTGAAAATAAATTAGATCTACTCATCCCTGTCTTCTTGTAACTTACAACCTCGCTGGAACCGCATATGTGTGGGGACTGAGTAAGGTAGATTTGCATGTATTCGGTAGATGAACATGTCTTATGCATCTATCTCCCACCCATCTATTCACATAAAGGAAATAATCAATAGCTGTTAAGACTAGAATATTTTATCCAGAAGAGCTAAACAATCTTGAAAAACAGAACAAAGTTGTACTCACATTTTCCTGTTTCAAAACTTGCTACAAAGTTAGAGTAATCAAGGCAGCATGGTACTGGGATAAAAATAGACATATAGATCAATGGAATGGAATTTAGAATTCAGAAATGAATCTTCTTATTTTTGGTCAAGTAATTTTCAGCAATGGTGGTAGACAATCCAATGAGGAAAAAAATAGCCTTTTCAATAAATCGTACTGAGAAAACTAGATATCCACATGTAAGGAATGAAGTGCTCACACCATATACAAACACTAATTTGAAACAGATCATAGGCACAAACATAAATACTAAAACTATAAAATTATTAGAATAAAATATAGGCATGAATTTTTGTGACCCTGATTTGGCAAAGGCCTCTTAGATATGACAACAAAACTACAATTGACAAAAGTAAAAACAATATGCTAAATGGACTTCATCATAATTAAAAACTTTTATGCTTCAGAAGACACCATGAAGAAAGTGAAAAGATTGATAAAATTGAGGGAATATTTTAAAATCATATATCTGATAAGGGTCTACTATCTAGGTACAGAGAAATTTTATAACTCAGTGAAAAGTCAAACAACTCAACTAAAAAATGAACAATGGACATGAATAGACATTTCCCCGAGATATACAAATGCTGTTAAATACATGAAAAGTTGCTTAACATTATTGGCCACTAAGAAAATGTAAATCAACACTGTAGGATATCTCTTGCTACCCAGTAGGATTGCTATAACCAAAATGATGAAAATTAATGTGTTTTCAAGGATGTGGAGAATTGGAACCTTTATATATGGCTGGTGAGAAAGGAATATGATGCAGGCATTGTGGTAAAAAGTTCCTCAGTAAGTTAAACATAGAATTCTTCTGTGACCCAGCAACTTCACTTCTAGGCATAGACACTAAAGATTTGAAAACAGATTTTTGTTTTGTTCAAACAAAACATATATGCAAATGTTCACAGCAGCACTACTTACAAGTTAAAAGGTATAAACAATGTAAAAGCTTATAAGCTGATGAATGAATAAACAAAAAGTGATATAATTATATAGTGGAATATTCAGCCATGGAAAGGAATGAAGTATTTATACAATATGAACATTGAAAACACTATGTTAATTAAGAGAAGTCATTCACAAAAGACTACCTCATATATGGTTTCATTTACATGAAATGTTTTAGGTATATCTATAGACACAAGAAGTAGATTTGTGATTTCCCAGGCCTGGGGGTGAAAAGGGCTTGAAGAGAAATGAAAAATATGATGAGTCAGACATATATATATTTATTTTATTTTTTTTTTTGAGGCAGAATTTCGCTCTTGTTGCCCAGGCTGGAGTGCAGTGGCCTGATCTCGGCTTACCACAACATCTGCCTACCGGGTTCAAGCGATTCTCCAGCCTCACCCTTCCAAGTAGCTGGGATTACAGGTATGTATCACTATGCCTGGCTAATTTTTGTATTTTTAGTACAGACAGGGTTTCAGGGTTTCTCCATGTTGATCAGTCTAGTCTCAAATTCCTGACCTCAGGTGATCTGCCTGCCTCGGCCTCCCAAAGCGCTGGGATTACAGGCGTAAGCCACCAAGCCCAGCTGAGTCAGACAATTTTTACAGTCTGAGAGAACAGTCCCGACACGAGTGCCCTAACTTCAGACACCATCTGCAAATTTGGGTGGTCTCAGGACCACCCTTACTTCAGATCAGCCAAGTGCACATTGTGGGGATCCCCACCATAACAGTCGGTTTCAATACTTTGCTAGAACAACTCACAAACTCTGGAAAATGCCATATCTATGGTTATGGTTTTATTAAAATAAAAGAATATAAATTAGCATCAACCAAAGGAAGAGACACATATGGTAGAGTCTAAAAGAGATCCAAATGCAAAGCTTCTGCTATCCTCTCCTGTGGATTTTTGGACAGTGCTACCTTCTCCTGGCTATGATGTGTGATAATACAGAGTTTTGCCAAGCAGGGAACTTATCCAAGACTTTGGTGTCCAAAGTGGTTACTGGGGCTTCATCATGTGCTATCTGCGTGGCTGATCTTGAGTTTCTAGACCCTTTTGGAGGTTAGGGATGATACCTTTAGTCTCTAACTTCTTGAGAGGTTGAAACTGATGTGACATGTCCCAAAGACTTCACCATATATCACATTGATCCACTATCCAGTGGCAAACAAAGACATTCCTATCAGGTAGGACATTACAGCGGCCTAGAGATCACTTCACAGTAGCTGAAGGCAAAGGCCAGACCTCACTGAAACCTTGTCTCTACTAAAGGTAAAGTTAGTTCTTCATTATACAGGAAATGACTGCTTATAGGTATGGGGCTTTCGCCTTAGGATGATGAAAATGTCCTAAAGTTGATTTTAGTGATGATTCTACAGCTTTGTGGATATACTAAAAGACATGGAATTGTATACACAATCGATGAATTGTATGCTACATAAACTATATCTCAAAGAACCTGTTAAAAAATAAAGAGATTTGGTTGGAGTGTTCTTAGCTAATTTGCTGAAAATGCTACGTTTTTCTAAGGTTTTATTACTTCATTTTAAATTTTTAATATTTAAGCTTTTGTGGTCATCGACAACAATGTGTAATTTTTTTTCATCTTTCAAGTTCAAAATACAGCTCCATTTTTACACACAGAAAAAAGGATTGCCAACACGTTTTCCTGATATCCTCCTTTATCTAAGGACTGAGCAAGAGTTTCTCATGAGGACTTAAAAAAGAAACAAAAAACAAAAAACTATACTTATTCTCTACGTTAAGAAACTCATACAAACTCATGCAAAGGTGACATTCAAAGGCTGCAGAGAACAGGCCTTTGAGAGATGGGAAACAGAGTGCTTAGCAAAGAAGTTTGTCAATAAGTTTCAAATTGAGGATGAGAAGCCCCAAATTGAAAACAAGAAGTTGAACTTCAAATTCAATCATGCAGCAGTGGCTATTGCTGAAAGAATAAAAACTGCTTGTTAAGAAGAAATGGAACAAAAGAAGGGAGAAAAAGGAGCTTCATGCAGTGTAAAATAGCTTTAACCATGCAGGCTGTCTGAAGTTCTAGGGAATTAGAAGCAAATACAAAATCTTAGAAATAGTCTATTGACAGCTGGTATAAATCTAACAACAAACTAGAAATAAACAATGGATAAGATTGTCAAGGATGAGAAAGACAAGAATAGTGTTTAAATGGTACCCAGTCTATGCTCTGTACCCAACAGAGTGAAAAGACTAGTTAACTAGGCTTTCCATTTAAGGGATGCATTTTGGCATCACACTGGCTATGGTTTTAATCATTGAAAAGTCACATTCGGTGTAACTTAGGGAAATTCATTGGCTATTTTTTAAGCCTTAGTTTTAATCTCTGTAAATCTGAAATAATAAAAGCAGAGATCTCAAATGTTTTGTTAGGATAAAATAAAGTGAGCTAATACATGAAATACATGTATCATCTTATGGATGCAATGTCTGGACGTAGTTGATGCCCATGATCACTATCATCAGTAGCAAAACCAGTTCATGTAACAAGCTCATCATTTTAGATTTATTTCACCAAAGGGCATGAGTGGTAGACATGACAACCTGGAAAAGGGATTATACCACTATATAAAAACAAACAAGATAATCAATTCTATTTATAAAACTTTCTAGGTTTTAATATTTTTTTGCATATAAGCCTTCAAAATTAAAACAAAATCAGATGTGGGTAATGAATATTGTGTTTCCATTTCAAATGACACTTACAGGTTGCTAACATAAAACAGAGAAAATAGAAGAATTCATTTCACAGTTCTTTGGTCTATTCTGTAATTTTTTTTTTAGTAATAAATCACAAAATTTGGATTCAGCACACTCTAGACTAAGTCACTGTGTCATTTAATAAATAGAGAAAGCCAATCAGACCAGACATATTTAGAGATATTTTTATAAATTTGACTGCTGGATAATTCATTACAACAAAGACTAGTGAATTAGGTTTTAATTATTTTCTGAAAAAAATTTTAATCAAGATAAAAGCTTCATAAAATGTACTAATTTGACAGCTGATGACATAGCCAATTAACTATTCAGAACAACAGCTAGTGTTTTAGGTGAAATAATTTTATTATCAAACAAAAGATGATGTTGAAGTCTATTCTTTGTATTAATCATACTGTGTATTTCAACAGTACACTAGAAAAAATATATAAGCTAAAAATGAGTCAATGTTTTGATTTCATGGCATTAAATTTTAAAATGCCTTAGAATTGTTAAAAATGAGAGGTTGAAGAGGGTAAGGTATTTAAATATTATTAATATATCAATTAAATTTAATAGCTAATGAAGCAAAATAATTTCATCCTAGATTATGTAAAAATATCAGTAATATTGTTGTAGAATTATTTTGCAGTCAAGGCATAATGACTGAATGTCTCCATGTCAGAGTTCAAGAACAGCTCACTGTGAAATATTTAGATTCATGCTGCTGCTGAATTTCATTGCATATTTCTGATTTATTCCTAAAACTGAGACCAACTACTAGCTATAAATCAGGATTGGAGAGATATTATAGTATAATTTTTATTTTTTACAAAATTGATATAGTTTCTGTTAAAAACGATTACTGGGTAATACCCTCTTGAAAAAGGAATTAAGGAAGGAAGAAAGGAAAGAAAGATGAAGGGAAGGAGGGAGGCGGGGAAGAAGGAAAGGAGGGAGGAAGAGAATAAGAGGGGGGAAATAAGGAAGGAAAAAGGAAGGAGGGAAGAAAGGAAGCTAGTTAGTAAGTAACTAAGTAATTAAGTAATTAGCTAACTCATTTTTATCAGGATGTTTTAACAGAATGAAATGAAACTGTGTTTCTGGGGCCCAGATGAATGAATGCTTGCTGAAGTTTCTCTTATATGTGCCTATGGTTTGCTTTTACACATTCACACCCAAACTCCTGAGAAACGTATATTACTATTAATTTCATTTTTCAGAAGAGAAAACAGAATTATGTGTATAGTTGGATTTGTGTAAGGTTATATATTTGGAAGATGTAAAGATGGGATTTAGATCCCTCCAAATATGCAGAGGGAATTACCCAGTAATCACTTTTTCTGGCTTTTGCAGAAGGGCATCTAACAGCAAAACAAGGCCAAAGCAGCCATTGCATTTCTTTGAGATCCTAGGAACCAGGATAACAAGAACAATCTTGGGGATGATCAGGGTGGCAGATTGGGTGTGAAGTGCCATACACATGCTCTCAGGTTTACAGACACGTTGCTGTCGAGCCTCTGTGCATCCTCTCAAGGAGAGGAAAAGAGCACCAATCCCTGGCTCCTTCCTGTAGCTTTGGGTTCCAGTTCCAAGATTCAAGCACATGCTGACTCTGGGAATTAAGGATAGACAAGTGGTGATGATTCTTTCCTCTCCCTAACTCTGTAGAGGCCAAAAACTCTCCTACCCCCGAGACTCACTGAACCCACAAAACCTCAAATTTACTTGTCCTTCGTATTACACATATCCTGCTCATTCCTTAATAACTTGTCTTCGGGCCGGGTGCAGTGGCTCACACCTGTAATCCCAGCACTTTGGGAGGCCGAAGAGGGCAGATCACATGAAGTCGGGAGTTCGAGACCAGACTGACCAACATGGACAAACCATGTCTCTACTAAAAGTACAAAATTAGCCGGTGGCACATGCCTGTAATCCCAGGAGAATCACTTGAACCCAAGAGGCAGAGGTTGCGGTAAGCCAAGATCGCACCATTGCACTCCAGCCTGGGCAACAAGAGCAAAACTCCTTCTCAAAAACAAACAAACAAACAAAAACTTGTCTTTACTTATACTAACTCACTTTATCTGCTAGAGGAAAGGTATCAATAATGTTGTTACCTAGGAAAGTATATCACAAGAAACATCACGTGTATTTGGGGCAACTTTTATTAATACAATTAAAGAGAGAGGCCAAAAACATGCTGATTTGTTAGTAGAGTCTGAATTAATCTCTCTCTCCCCACCTCTCTCCCTTTCTTCTCTCCCACTTCACACACACACCAAGAAGGCTCATACATAGAATCAATTGCACTATTCTCTGCCTGCTAAGAAATCCCTATTACACCTCCATTAGGCTCTTACAGCCAAGTAAGTTAAAGTGACATAAATAAAATAATAGAAGTTAGGTTTTTGTTCGTTTGATCGGTTGGTTTGTTTTGCTTCTTAAGACTCCTTCAAAGCAAACATAGCTAAAAACAAATATGGAATGCTCTTTACCTCTTCTGTGCGTTTTTAGTAAGGCAGGGTCAGCAAGTTTTAATGATTATATCAACAAAAAAGTTAGCTGTCAGAGTCATTGTCGACATCCACATTCAATCCACTCCTTGCTGAACAAAGATTAAGAGAATGGCAGATGGTGCCAAGTTGTGTAAAATATTTTCTCTGACTGCAGTCTCAACCTCTTTCATTTTCTTCCTCTTTGGCAGCCTTTTTTAGCAGCTGTGTTGGCAATGATGACAGAACCTATCAAACACAAGGAGCTGATGAGCCTTCAGAACTACCTTATTAGGGTACTTAACTTTTGCTTTGTACTCTCCTACCTGTCTCTGAAGTTTGTGAATGAACCTCACTCATCTTCCAATCAAAACCCCTGGGAAGGTTCCAGGCTGGAAGATGATGTTTTTGTCATGTAAATTGTTCACAGACCTTGGGGCTGTTTTCTTACTTATTTGGGAAAGAAAATAGGAACTCAAGCAAATGCTTGAGGACATAAGATAAAATGTCATTCCAAATGAGGGTTTTATTTATCGGAAACAAAAACACTCAAATAAAATATTTATGGGTTTTGTATTACAACTGGTAAGCAAGAATATAGCTCCAGTCTGTGCTTTTACCTTTCTTCTGCATTTTTTCTGTCTTACCCTATCTTGTAGCAGAGTGTCTAGGCATTCCTCCAACTCAATTCTTTGGAGGAGGTCACTTTTACAATACTGTACACCGTGTGTATGTCACATGTGCATGTACATGTGTGTAATTTTTCCCAAACAGTGAATGCAATTTTTGAGAAATGTCTGTTATAAAATTTTCAAATCAAGTATAAGTGTCTGACACCAAGGCATATACTGTTCTCTAACCCTCTTCTTCCACTCAACATTGTTCTCCATTCTTTATGGTGGTTTTGATACGATAAATAGACAGAGAAGTTCTTCTCTTAATATATTGAAGTTACTATCTGAGAAATATAAAGTATTAGGAAAAGGTTTCCTCATCCTGTGTGTAAGTCACTCTGAAATGCAGAAAAAGCTGTCAATT
Organism: Homo sapiens; assembly: GCF_000001405.40. Taxonomy (NCBI): domain Eukaryota; kingdom Metazoa; phylum Chordata; class Mammalia; order Primates; family Hominidae; genus Homo; species Homo sapiens. The sequence continues at coordinate 61,262,918 of NC_000016.10, read as the reverse complement.
CTCTTGGGATAAAAAGATAAGGACATTTTACTGATTCCTGGGATTGAACTAGGATCAAACTGTAGGGAGATCAAGATCTATCATGAGAGTGGAGGTAGGACCCTGGAGGGAGAGATGGGAGAGTATAAGAAATGTATTAGGTGCTGTAAGACAAAGGGAGAAAAGAGATCAATGAATGGAAGCTGGAACTCCCAGGCACCCAGAGGAAGTGGAAAGCTTGGACATGGAGCTGACTCAGTGGGAAAATTGTGCTCTGGACTTCCTATGGGTTTATGATTTTTAATAGAAAAAAAAATTCCCTCTTTTTTTGAGAATGGATTCTTCTTTTATGTGTGTCCAGGGTAACTAAGGGAGCACACAGAGGAAAAAAAAAGGAAAGTCAGTCACAGTCATGTGCTAAAGAGAATGATATATAGAGGCTAAGTTCAAGAATCACTTCATTAGTTATTCAAAAACAGCGAACTCTCTTAATTTCACTATCATTTACAAGAAAGCAAAATTAGCTTAGAAAGTCTCCAACCATTATATCAATGTTATAACTCTGGAAACTTTCTAGTAAGCAAAAGATAATGGATGAGAGTTAATTGTACCTTACTCTGTGTTTCATATTTGAAAGGTGTCAAAAACAATGAATACACTACTTGGTGCCCTGATAGTTTTATTTATTTTAGGGGGTAGGGGAGAGACTAAGCCACTATTTTTTTGTTGTTTTGTTTTGTGTCTACAATGCCTAGGATGAAATGGAACTCTTTTGCTAAGGATTTTTCACACTTAACCTTTGATGTCTTTATGTAGCTGAGATTACACTACTCTCATAGATGGTTAATTTAAATTATAATTGAATGATAGACATTTATGAAATATAGGTGTTGTTACTTTTTATTTGTCTTATTTAGGAAACTGGGAATAGGATTTTCAATATCTCAGAACATTAAACAAATCCATTGGTGATGTGTGGAACTGCAGGAAGTTCTCACCTTAACATTGGATATTGAATATAATTTTAATATTCTTAAAGAAATTTTTAATAAAATTAGTATTATAGTAACTGACCCTTTTATTATATTCCCTGAAACAAGAGATTGACTTGTTCAAAAACTCTGGCTGCCAATAGACAAACAAGAGTATTATTTAACAAGATGTCTATAGTAGGATAAATACCGAGTTATACACTTCCACTTAATCTTCAATATACCCCTTGTGAGAGAATTGCTTTTGCCCTATTTTACTGCTGAGAACAAGGAGGGTAAAAATAAGTGAGAGACTCTTCTGAGTTTGGATTCTGATCTGCCTTCAAAGACCACAGTCTTTCTTCTTTTTGTTGTAAATTGAAGAGTAGAACACAAGGATTAGTTTATTATTATTATTATTATTAGTTTTTAAATTATTATAATAATATTTTAAGGATTAGTTTTTAAATTAGTTTATTATTATAATATGAAGGATTAGTTATTATTATTATTATGCTTTAAGTTCTGGGGTACATGTGCAGAACGTTCAGGTTTGTTACATAGGTATATACGTGCCATAGTGGTTTGCTGCACCCATCAACTCGTCACCTACATTAGGTATTTCTCCTAATGCTATCCCTCCCCTAGCCCCCCACCCCCCGACAGGCCCTGGTGTGTGATGTTCCCCTCCTTGTGTCCAGGTGTTCTCATTGTTCAACTCCCACTTATAAGTGAGAACATGTCATGTTTGGTTTTCTGTTCTTGTGATAGTTTACTGAGAATGGTGGTTTCTGGCTTCATCCATGTCCCTGCAAAGGACATGAACTCATCCTTTTTTATGACTGCATAGTATTCCATGGTGTATATGTGCCACATTTTCTTTATCCAGTCTATCATTGATGGACATTTGGGTTGGTTCCAAATCTGCTATTGTGAGCATGCCACAATAAACATATGTGTGGATGTGTCTTTATGGTAGAATGATTTATAATCCTTTGGGTATATACCCAGTAATGGGATTACTGAGTCAGATGGTATTTCTAGTTCTAGATCCTTGAGGAATCACCAGTTTCAGATTGAAATTTGAGGAGATCAACTTTAATAAAAAAAATAAGTAATAATTTACAATTCCTCTGGATTAAAATCACAGAGAGGGCAGTGCTCACATGAAAGTTAGCTATTGAGTAGAAACAACGCTCTTCCAGGTGTCTAGTAAGTGCTTGATAAGCAGTTGTCATATCACTTGCAGACTTATTTTGAAAATGACATTCTGATTCAGTAGAAACAGTGTATAACCCAGAAATCTCAGTGAGTGGAAACCAATAATCCACTTTTTCTTTTTTATTTGTTTTTGAAGTCCGTTCCTTCCCAGTTTAAATGATTTTTATCATCACTGAGATCCAAGAAGCACTAAGAGCCTTAGAACAATTACGCATTCCTGAACTTTAAAAGTGGTCCATTCACCACACACACACACATACACATATGCAGGCACACACTCTCACACATACAATACACATATTACCTCAACATTATTCTTTATATTTGATTGATTTTTAATTACTTGCCTTTATAGTATGAGGTAGTGGTCCAAAATTATGTTCTTCTATGTGTATCATCTATCTTTAACAACTCCAATAAACAAATATAAATACATGTTTTGATACAACAGACAACAGAATTTAAATGCCATTCTTGTCAAACACTCTATCTGAAAGTAAAATTGTATTTGTATCTAGAAAAAAACAAGTGGTCCAATGTAGGAAGAATTTGATTACAGGCCAAAAGCAGAATACCAGGTGGGGATTCAGCTGCTTAGGCAGTTATCCAGGGATGCTTACACCTGGATTACCATATGTTTCCGGGTAGCCAATAAGTTATTGTGCTGAAAAAATAGTTGCACTTGTAAAACTAGAGAGTTGCTGTCAAAAGCTAGAGTTTACAAGATACAAAGATACTGTGATAATGATTACTCTATGGCTAATAGGATCAGAGACTACACTTTATAAATGTTTCAAGTGTTATTACACAAATATTAACATGGAAATTATTTAAAAGTAGGGTTTTAAAGAGTAATCTAAAATGATGTAGAAAGGCCTGGCACAGTGGCTCAGGCCTGTAATCCCAGCACTTTGGGAGGCCGAGGCAAGAAGATCACGAGGTCAGGAGATTGAGACCATCCTGGCTAACACGGTGAAACCCCATCACAACTAAAAATACAAAAATTAGCTGGGAGCGGTGGCACGCGCCTGTAATCCCAGCTACTCCAGAGGCTGAGGCAGGAGAATCGCTTGAACCTGGGAAGCGGAGGTTGCAGTGAGTCGAGATCATGCCACTGCACTCCAGCCTGGGCGACAAAGTGAGACTCCATCTCAAAAAAAAGAAAGAAAAAGAAGTTAAATTAACTTGCTCAAGGGAAGCCAGGGTTAATTTAGGAACCATCGACAGGGAGTCTGGAGACCTGGATTGAACACTACTACTGTATCTTTTTGTAGTGGAGCACAAATATGTGTGTGTGTATGTGTGTGTACGTGTGTATGTGTGTGTACGTGTGTATGCCGTTCTTCAAATAACAAGAAATCCCTGCTGCTTGTTCTCTAAAGTGACGTGACTTCTGTGGGAAGCAAAAGATACTCTATTTAGGGAAATTTTCTAATACAGTACATTGCTTGCTAGCAATATTCCTCTATATTCCATTTAATATCTAGTGTGAACAAGAATATACATTCCCCAATAGTGTAATAAGAGTTGGAAGAACTCAACTAGATTGAGAAGCAAGTGAGCCAAAGAGAAGAGCCTGGTAACATGGCTGCAGGGTAGTTTTTGAGGACAGGGTGTCCATAAAAGCCAAAAACTTGAAATTTTAGAGTAGCCTATTGCTTAATATTCTCTGCAATACAAAACTGTAACCTTCATTCACTTCCACTCCAACCTTACATGTGTGCGTGTACACACAGACACAAATGCAAACACACAGCACATACATAACACCATCAGTAACATTTTAAAAATGTTAGTTCACATTGAATTGTACACCAAAATTTTATCAATAATTGCTATCAGAGTTTTTATAAAAGGATGAAAAATTTTGACTTATGCATTTGAGTTGCTACCAGAAAGACAGAAAAAGGCAGTAATCAAGGTATGATGGGATTTTAGAATTAGCAAAAACAGGAAATTGGAGTAGGGAATAACAAAGTAAAATACCAGCTCTCTAAAAATCTCTGCTGACTTGCTGCTTACATCACTGAACAACAACAAAAAAATAATAATGGAGTAGCTGTTGCCCTTCTCCGGTTGTGTGTACAGTATGTGTGGAATAAAAAAGGGAAACTGTTTTCACAAAAAAAAAAAAAAAAAAAAAAATCTCTGAAGATGTTCCAGGTATAGTAAAGAGGAGTATTTAAGCTAGTTTTCCTTAAATCTTATAAAATAAAGTGAGTCAAGCAAGCTGGATCACTTGAAGCATTCCAGGCAATTAGAGTCCACTTTTAATGTTCATTAATGGTTAGAGATAAAAATGATTAAACTTTCTAATAAATAAATGAATAAACAAACAAACACACATAAAACTACTTAGCCTTTATTTTTAATCTGACAAAACATATATTGTTCTGTAAAGGGGTCATGACATGTTGGTAAATGCAATTTATTTAGATTTGAGGTTTGAAATCAGATCTTTTGAGTCCTTTGGACAAATTAGTAAAACTATCTGAATTTTGATGTCTTCATTTATAAAATGTAAAAATGCAAGAACCATGTTATAGTAATGTTGTAAATGTCAAGTTAAATGAAGTAAATTTATATAAAAATTAGATAGGACATTGCACATCTCATATTTGTTAACTGACTTAGGCCAAGTAAGTGTCTATTCAGTAAGAATCATAAGATCAAAAGGAGAGAAATGTGTATGTGTGTATGTGTATGTGTGTGTGTGTGTGTGTGTGTGTGTGTGTGTGTATCATACTCCTCCTGCCTGGTGCAGAGGAAATAAGTAAGGTGCCCTAGTTGTCAAGATAAAAGGCAATCTCTCTGCATCCAATCAGAAAATATGCTGGGAAACATGTTTCATCCTAGCACTTTTCTGTCATTAATAAGTAATGGTATTATTTGTATCTATTCACCATGCTAAAGGACATTGATTACTGAAGTGCTTACATTACCAGAAAAAAACTGTATACCCATTAAAAGGACCTGGCAGGGGTGGTTGGAGAGGAGAAGAGTCAAGGGTGATGGTTCTTTTTTACCATCACAGAATTCAGATTGCAGGCTCTCTTAGAATATAGCCTTTGGTTTAGTGCAGCCTTGCTCAAGTTTGTTTTTCAATCTACCTGCCTTAGACTAGAGCTAAACCTCTTTATTTAATCAGGTTTAGGAGTGGGGTGGGAGCGTGGAAAGATAACACAGTGGTCAAGAGTCTGATTCCTGACATTTATCATGAAGCTAAGGAAATTTAAACCTCGCTTTCATGGGGAAATTTAAACCCCTTCCAAATCCTGAAGGGCATGTGTTGTATGTTGCTTGGGCACCTGTTCACATAACCACACATTTTTGTAATTTTTCTAAAGTAAATGATTTAAATCACAAAGAATTCAGTTTGCCTTTGGTCCTGAAAGTGTTCTTGGAGAGGCCATGGATCAATACTTGGGGTAAGAACCCAAATCACTGACACCTGTACATCTTACTAGCTACATGACGATGACTTTCTATGTGGACATCTTCAATAACATGACTTTACTCTTCAGTAACACAACTTTTCTATTCTAAAAAAACCCTTGTCGGCTGGGCACGGTGGCTCACACCTGTAATCCCAGCACTTTGGGAGGCCAAGGTGGGCAGATCCCGAGGTCAGGAGATCGAGACCATCCTGGCTAACACGGTGAAACTCCGTCTCTACTAAAAATACAAGAAATTAGCCAGGCATGGTACTGGGCGCCTGTCGTCCCAGCTACTCCAGAGGCTGAGGCAGGAGAATGTAGTGAACCTGGGAGGCGGAGCTGGCAGTGAGCCAAGATCGCGCCACTGCACTCCAGCCTGGGCGACAGAGTGAGACTCGGTCTCAAAAAAAAAAAAAAAAAGAAGGCCCTCGTCCGGGAAGATAAAAGTCACAAAAAAATATTGCTAGTTTCAGGAACATCCTGAAAAAAATGAGTGAACATCAAACTGTTCAATTTAGGAAGTTTGATTTACTTTTTAAAACTTTTCAAATTTGGATTTGAATTTCTCATTTTGCTCTGCCCATCTATCCTAAACTATTATATAATGATCCTTATTCAACCTTAATCCAGACATGCATTGAAAGATCTGTCTTAAACTAGACTCCAAAAACTTACTGTATACAGATGTTGCCCTCAGTCTTATTAACAAGGTTTTTTGGGACCAGGTGCAGTGGCTCATGTCTGTAATCCCAGCACTTTCAGAGGCCAAGGCGGGTGGATCACCTGAGGTCAGGAGTTCGAGACTAGCCAGGCCAACATGGCAAAACCCCATCTTTACTAAAAATACAAAAATTTAGCCAGGCATGGTGGCAGGCACCTGTAATCCCACCTACTCGGGAGGCTGAGGCAAGAGAATCTCTTGAACTCGGGAGGCAGAGGTTGCAGTGAGCCGAGATCAAGCCACTGTACTCCAGCCTGGGTGACGGAGTGAGGCTCTGTCTCAAAAAAAACAAACAAACAAACCAAAAAAACAAAAACAAAAAAACCACCAAGTTTTTTGGATGGTGTTTTTAGGGAGCTAGCATTTGACTTGAGAATCTGGTTGAGAGGAAATTGAATTGGGAATGCATTCAATTTTAATAGTTTATATTTAAGGGGTTTTCAGTTACTTCTGTATCAGCTTTAATTAATGCTGGCTGCCCTGGTGTGGGAGTGGCTTCTGGGAATTACCTTTCTGTCTGCTGTGTTAACTCAGCAAGGGTTGTGGTAGGAAAGTGCAAATGTAGAGGTCCTATTACTATATGAACATGTCCTACTGAACAATGCCAGGCGACAGAGTTACATAGTGAAGAAGAAGCAATGCTGAATGATTCTGATGCAGAATCTAGCCTGTGAAACATTTCCCAATCATCAGCAATGCTCAGTGAAAATCAAAGTATTCAGTTCTTAATCAATATCTAGTCAAAAGAAAGTTCACCGGTATCAGAAGTAGGCTAATCATGTAACCTATACATTTCCATATGTACCAGCTATATTCAATTCAGAGTATTTAAAACCAGTTATTGTATAGGAAAAATTCAAAATGCTCTGAGCATTTAAACTTATGTAAAAGGAACCTGATAGAGGTTCCCCCAAATTTAACAATATCAAATATCTGCATGATATTACCAACAATGGCTGTTCTAAGTTAGTGACAATTTTTTAATAGCTTTAATTTTTAAATTAATCTAATTTTTAAACTATTTTAGAAGGGAGACTGATTTAATTGTTTTATGCTCTCTAATAAAAAATATCCCACAAAAATAATTGTCATTAAAAGAGGCAGAGAGTAAAATTTTTATGAAAAAAATGTTGTATCTATAGGTGTACCAGTCATTTTATACAAAGATTATGTTTTTTTCTTCTTGTATTTTGTGATGTTTGTATGTTTTGTCATTTCTCAAATTTATATTTTGTTGTGACAAGTTTTCTGATTCTAAATCAGTTCTTTACTCAATTCTGTATTTGTGAATCCTTGTGTCTTGCAGCCCTCTTTAAGGTTAAGATTGATGCATTTAGTGATGCGGTTCAGGGAGGAAGCAGGGAGCACAGTGAGAGAAAGAGAGCTTTGCATTTTAGTTTTCCTACTAGCTTGCTGTGCAATATTAGGAAAGTTACTTAATCTCTCTGAGCTTTAATTTTTTTTTTTCACTTAAAACCAGAAATTATTTTACTTAATTGAGTTACTCAAGAATCAAGAGTGGCTGGGCATGGTGGCTCACGCCTGTAATCCCAGCACTTTGGGAGGCCGAGGCAGGCCGATCACGAAGTCAGGAGTTCAAGACCAGCCTGGCCAACATGGTGAGACTCTTTGTCTCTACTAAAAATAAAAAAGCCAGGTGCAGTGGCACATGCCTGTAGTCCCAGCTACTCGGGAGGCTGAGGCAGGAGAATCACTTGAACCCAAGAGGCTGAGGTTGCAGTGAGCCAAAATCGCACCACTGCACTCCAGCCTGGGCAACAGAGCGAGACTCTGTCAAAAAAAAAAAGAATCAAGACTACTAAATAAAAGTGAGCAATACTTCTAAAAAAATTGTTGGCCTGGCATGGTGGCTCATGCCTGTAATCCTAGCACTTTCGGAGGCCAAGGCAGGTGGACTGCTTGAGCTCAGGAGTTGGTGATTAGCCTGGGCAACATGGTGAAACCCTGTCTCTACTAAAGTACAAAAAATTAGCCGGGTGTAGCAGTGCGCATCTGTAATCTCAGCTACTTGGGAGGCTGAGACAGGAGAATCGCTCGAACCCGGGAGGTGGAAGTTTCAGTGAGCCAAGATGGTGCCATTGAACGCCAGCCTGGGCTACAAAGCAAGACTCCGTATCCAAAAAAAAAAAAAAAAGTTACATTGTTACATGACTTTTTTGTTGTTGTCTTTTCCCCTCAAAGGATACATCAGCTTCAACTTAACTTTTTCTCCCTCCCCTGAAAACCAATTGATATTTATCTTCCAGGTGAAGTACATTAGAATTGGTGATAGTACGTGATAGAAATAACTGGGCTAATGCCTAAGTCTCATTTTTTGCACAGACAGTTCTTTCAAAGGGATCACAGAATGGCTGCACTTTTGTATCTATAAGGAAAAGAGAAAATCAAACAATATAATTTTAAGTAGAAATTTCATCATAGTTTTAGAAAGTAGTTCCACAGAATACTTGTTATTCATAATAAATAGACTCTTTTGAATGACCTCATTGCTTAGTTAAGTCCTTTACTAACTTTGCATTAAAAGAATATTGGCCAAAGAGCCTATTCAACTTGGCCTCGTTGATTTTGATTAAACAAAAATATTTAATTGTAAATGAAAGTTCCACCTTCAGCCACATCGGGGAATGGAGATAAATGTGACACTGTAGTCTGATTAGCTCTTCTGCTTCCAGGCTGAAGTGGGGCCCTGTGCCAGCCACATCCTAGGAGAGTATCTCTAAAAGAGGTGTGGAGTCACTCCAGAATTTCTACGCAAGTTCAGAAAAAAGCAATCCAGGTCTGCTTAGCACAACAGAGTGTTGAGGTCTCATACTGTCCTTTTTGGACCAAAGCCAACTCATACATGATCTGAGTTGCGTGTTATACCTTGCTGGCTTCATGCTATTAAAATCAAAACAAAACAAAAACAGAAATCAGTTGCCTTCTTGTGGAGATTCAGTAAGAGATTTTACACACTAATCTGAATTTCTTTAATCCCTTGAAATATCAGTTTCTGTCACCATTTGGCCCTCACTTATACGTCGCTATAAGTTCCTGGAGAAGAGTAGAAACTGCTCTTTTTCAGATGAGGAAGGGGTTGCCACTGTTCTATAATTCCTACTGATCTCTGCATCTCCCTACATTTGGATAGAGTGTTGATTGCCATTTATCACTCCTCTTGGACTATTTTTATTTCTCAGGTAGCATTGAGAGAAATGTGAAGGGTGTTATTTTGCCCATGTTGCAATCAAAGGTTAAAATTAAATAAAGTTTTACAGGGTAATGTATTAGTCCTTTTTCATGCTGCTGACAAAGACATACCGGAGATTGGGAAGAAGAAGAGGTTTAATGGGACTTATAGTTCCACATGACTGGGGAGGCCTCAGAATCATGGTGGGAGGCAAAAGGCACTTCTTACATGGCAGCAGCAAGAGAAAATGAGGAAGAAGCAAAACCGGAAACCCCTAGTAATTTACTATCTGATCCCATCAGATATCATGTGACTTAATTACTATTACAAGAATAGCATGAGAAAGACAAGCCCCCATGATTCAATTACCTCCCCCTGGGTCCCTCCCACAACATGTGGGAATTCTGGGAGATACAATTCAAGTTGAAATTTGGCTGGGGACACAGCCAAACCATATCAGATAGTATGACTCAAGAAAAAATAAAATGATAGTTTATCCCTTGGAAGCTGTGGTGCCACTACCTGGTTTAAATCCTGACTCAGCCATTTACTGGCCAGGGAATCTAAGTAAATTATTTAACCTATTTAAATCTCAATTTGCTGATCAATAAAATGGAGAAAACGATAATACCTTCTCCAAAAGGACTGCCATGAAAATAGAACTTAAGCTCTGGAAACAGTTTGGGCACAGGGTAAACATCAAAATGTTCGCTATACCTATTATATTAAATTTGCATGCAGCATATGTCTTAGCCAAAGTTCCTGACCCTGATTGCTCATTTATGTTTTCCACTATGTCTATCAATCTTTCAGTTTGTTCCCTATGATTAATTCTAAAATATGAGCTAAATGATCCACAGCATGGGTTGTAATCTTGTTATTTTTTACAAAAATTAACCTAAGCTCAGGTCAAGGACCAATAAGATATTTGTTCTGGTTTTGTTAAATTAAAGCTGTTTTCTAAACACCTCTCTACCCTTCAACAGGCCAACTGCTTCACCCTGGGATCATGTTAACTGAGTGAAACTCATCTCAACTCATCCCCACAAATCCCAGGAGCAAGTGACCTAGTGTCTAGATAAACTACAAGGCAACTGAAACACTGAATGTTCCTTACTTCCCCTCAGCTATTTTGTAAACACCAGAGACTTCTATGGAAGCTACTCCTGCCAATATTTGTAACTCAGCTAGAACTTTCACCAATAGGATAAACAAATTACTAAGATATCTTCTTCACTAACCTCTCCATTTTAAGACCCTTCTTTCAACACTCTCTTCTCCTCCTTTCCAGTTTTTAGTCAGTCTCCAGCAAAGAGGATTCCTGCCTCTAAGGTTTGGCCAAAACTTCCTGAGTGAAGTCACGCTCTAGACAGTATCTTACTGTTATTGTTGTGTTATTGTTACCCTATGGTACAGGTGTACCTGATGAAAAGTAAGATGCCTAGTGTTAAAATAATTAATTGGGAGGCCATTAGGCTGAGAGGGCCCCAGCAACTTGAGTTTCTAATCAAGCAAACTGAAACTCAACTCACAGTGAATGTTCATACCCTAGCGAAAAACAAAACAAAACAACAAAACTAAGTGGAACCCATCCAAAAACCATGAACTAACTGCTAAGTAGAGACTTCACCAATTAAAAACTGCCCACTAAACTCTAAGGACTTTCCACTTTAACCAATCAAATATTTTTTCCTGTTTCTATGAACACCTTATAAAAGTTATTTCCTTGCACTCCCCAGTGGAGTTCAACCACCCAACCGCTTGCAGTCTGGTGCTGCCGGATTCATAGATTGCTGAGTGCTCAAGTACACTTCTTAAGATATGCCTAAGTTTCATTTTTAATACTGGTTAAATGTAAATTTTAGCTATAAAATGAATAGAGCTTTTAAAAATATAGGATACACATATACTATACACAGTCATTCCTCAACATCATGGGAATTGGTTCCAGAACACATCCCCTTTTCATGAATACTAAAATGTCCAGATATTCAAGTCCCTTACATAAAATAGTATAGTATTTGCATACAACCTATGTACATCCTCCTGTCTTCTTTAAAGTGTCTCTAGATTACTTATAATATCTAATACAATGTAAATGGTATGCAAATAGCTGTTCTATATTATCTAGGATATAATGACAAGAAAAAAAAAGTCTGTACATGTCACTACAAACACAATCATCCATTTTTGTCCCCAAATATTTTCCATCCACAGTTGGTTGAATTCATGGATGTTAACCTCACAGATATGGAGGGCCAAGTGTACATGTATATGTTTGTGTGTGTGTGTGTGTGTGTGTGTGTGTGTGTGATTTATCTGAAATTCAAATTCAACTAGTTGCCCTGAATTTTCATCTGCTAAATCTAGCAACAATTCCATCATAAAAACCTATGCTGTCTCTTTTTCTACTCCTTCAGGCACTAACATGCTGCAGCTTCTGGATTAGCTCACAATTTTAGATAATAACCTGTATTCTATGCTAGGTGCTTGGTACTTATACATCTAGTCCATTTTCTATATTGTTCAGAAGTAGTGCTTTAAGTCTTCCAGTGCAGGAAACCCATGAGTCAGGTAACCCACATTCCTGAGTAAGTCAGTGAGAAGAAAATGATATTGGCAATTATGTTAAAGTTTCACCCCTCCCTTACATTCGTTTAACACTCTGGACAGTCCAAAGCACCTTCCAATATAATATTGTGTGTTAATGGTCACGGTCCCTATAGAATTAGAAAGGCTTTTGCAGATTTATTAAGAAGACACATATTGCGGGGGTCCCCAAACCCCAGGAGGCAGACCAGGAGTGGTTCGTGGCCTGCTGGGAACTGGGCAGGCACAGCAGGAGGTGAGTGGCATTGCAGTCTGAGCTCTGCCTCCTGTCAGATCAGAGGTAGCATTAGATTCTCATAGGAGCACAAACTCTAATGTGAACTGTGCAGGCAAGGGATCCAGATTGTGTGCTCCTTATGGAAATCTAATGCCTGCCTGATTAGCTGAGTTGTAATGGTTTTATCCTGAAACTACCCACCCCCTCACTACATCCGTGAAAAAATGTCTTCCACAAAGCCAGTCCTTGCTTCCAGAAAGGATGGGGACCACTGATATATTGCGTATCTGCCATGTACCACACCCGATTCTAGGAAAGCAATGGGTTAAAGGGATGCTTGAGACAGACATGGTCTTGTGCTCAAGGAACTTAAGTGAAAAAAGTAATCTTAAATACTTTAATAGGTTCTCAGCATATGCCACTTTGTGATTTGTTGTGATTTTTGTCAATCCTATGAAAGTAAAAGAATGCAGGGTGCTCTAGAGATCTGACATAGTGGCATCAGGGAGGCTTTGTGTGGGTGCTAATTTATTTTTTATAGATGAAGAAGTTTGAACTAGATCAGTCACTCCCACCTGCCTGATGATCCAAATTACCTGAAGAGCTTTTCAGAAATGCAGGTTAGGAAAAAAGGAGAAAGGAAGAAGAGAAAGATTTCTGTTCAGAGAGAGTGGTAGGTACAAAAACCCTGAAGATTGAAAGGACATGCACGACCTGACTACTTCCACGTTATGTCCTGAGTGTCTGAACACTTTTTGGTGTTCATTCTTATCAGCTGTAAGAGTGATCATGCCGGCCATCACTTCACAGACCAAAATAAAGCACTTTTAAGACGATTGATACCATGTTTTATGGAATGTCTATCTTCTGCAACAAAAACAACTAATTTACATTTCATTCAGCTGTTAGGAATCTAATTTAGACATAAGTCAAAATAAACATACTTTTCTGAAACTTTCATAAAAACATATGCCTACTTTGATATTTTCATCTCTCTATCAAGTTTTCCAAAATAGTAACATATGGTGGGATTATCACAAAAATTACTGGAACAGAAGATTCCCTTTAAGAATATTTGACATGATCCTCGATGTAACAGACAAGAGAGTTCTTGAATGAAGTGTCAAAGGCTTTGATTGCATGGACAAGCATATTCGGTAACAGTCATTATTATTCCTGCAATGATTTCCTGAATGCTCACAAGCCTGACACTATTTAAAAAAATTAATATTTAATATTAATGACATTAAAATATATTTCCCAAAGTAGACTGCTGAAAGCTAATTTTAAAAGAAAATTTTACCTTATTATCATGTTACTTTCTATAAGTAAAGGGAACTATGAAAATAAATACAATGCAAGACACACGAACTCACACATACTTGACCCTCTGCCAATGCCTCCTCATTCTCTTTCATACAAAAAGATACTGGTAAATAAAATAATACCACAGTAACTTCAAATGGACTTTATCTGACTTTATCTTTGACATATCAGAAAAAAATTTGAAAAAATAAAAGTGACTTTCTTACTGTTTCTATCAATGTTACTTGATTTTCAATTTGTGTCTTATCAATGTCATCTCACAAACTACCATGGGAGGAATCCTGTCTTCTGGATCTGTTAAACATATAGATCTGTTATCTATTTTAGTTTTATCTGTGGAATTTGGTGACCAAAAATTCCAAAAACAAGGAGCTGAAAATTAAAGAGATATATTACTTGTGCAGAGAGCACTAGAATGGGAATCAGATTTAGATCTTATTCATTGAGTCTCAATCCTCACTGATAATTAGAATCACCTTTGACTTTCGACTCTTTTGTTTTTCTTTGTTTTCCGTGTGCTTCAGAATCAAGAACTACTGATCTGTTTTCAGCTCTGAGTCTCAGAGTATGTCCCTGAATGAACCACCCTGGCCCTTTTAGTCTCAAGACTCTCATTTACACTTAAAGGACATTAGTGTTGATTAGGCGTGTGTCAGATATACTGACTATTAGAACCATTTGGAAAGTATTTTAAAATGCAGGATCTCAAGGATTGTGGATGAGAGAATATGTAGTATGATCTCTCTACCCAGGTATACAGTCATCTAACTTTGAGTTTAATGTGTAATAATGATGGATTCTTTAGCATGAGGGTCTAGTCAACTGAGCTAACCTATAAAGCAAGCTATTGAAATTCAGACAACTAATGACTGGGGGAAAATATGTCCTGTGTTGAGTGATGTAATCACTCCATAATAGAATATACCTGTGGTGGATAAAAATTATCTCTACTTGATGTGGCAGTCATTAAATCCTAAATCATTTTGTGAAAGTATCTCATGTTCTAATATGTCACATAATAATATTTGTATGTGACATATGTCACATAATATTGTTTATTGTCAATAATTTAAAAACAAATTTGGAAAGCTGACTGATTTTTCGCTCTATTTTCTCTTTCAAAATGTGACCTAGTGCTGAGTCTGTCTTACAGACTCTGGCTGAGTGACGGATGAAAGAAGTATGCTGACACAAGTATTTTGCCTGACAGGGCAGGTAGGGGACCTCACGGCTCAGCACCGCCGATGAGAGTGCTGCCCCCATAAGCTGGCCCCACTCACATTTATTTAGTACAGATTTAACGACAAAGGCTTGGAGCAAACACAATTTGTGTGTAATAAACAGTGTCGACCCCGAGTAGAGAGCAGCCCTGCATGCAAACGATCAAAGGTTGATTTCTGGAGACAGAAGTAAACAAATTTGTCTAGATAATCTCCTTTACATGCCCTTGTTATCTGCCCTTTGCTCTCAGCAGCCGGATAGGAGAATTTGGCTGCCTTCAGCCATAATTCTTTACTGAAGCATTTGCAAAACCTCCCGGCCTTCCAAGAAGGTTTGCATCTTTCCCTATAACTGTTTCTTATAACTTTTCCCACCACCCTGACTGATCTCCTACAACCTGGGGACAGACTACAAGACTGAGGAACACTGGATATTTTTAGGAAGCACTGGATATTTCTAGGACAGAACCCATGACATGGACTTAATAAACATGAATGCTTTCAAAACTGAGAGAGCATTTTTGATTAAAGAAACAAAAGTTTCTTTAATTGAGTAGCATCAAAGCATCAGAAGTATACAGTGTTTAGCAAACATGTACTAATTAATCTCAGAATAAATTTATAATATAGTTAACAATAAACATGCTTCACAATTCAATTTCTAACCATATAATGATGAAATAGAAGTGGATCCAAGAAACATGGAAGAATATAACTAAACATGGGCTGTAGTCTAATAAAATGGAAATAAGATGACAATTATGACATGGTAGAGACAGCCCTGAACTTACAGATTGAAGTTTGGCTCTCATCCTAGTGCTAAATAACTTAATTGATTTATCTGGAGGACAACACAAATAAATCAGGTGGTGTGTCAGGCATGGAGGGAGATTATACCAAGAAATAACATGCTGACTCTGTGCTCACATTCACAAGCTGGCTGAAAAAACATTACACCCTACTTTGTGTGTGTATTGTGCATCTTCTATGAGTGAAAATGGAAATATACACAAGATATTATGAGAATGGACCAAAAAACTTCCAAAGCTATTAGAGGAGAGTGAGTTCAGGAAGGCTTTAGGGAAGAGGTGACTTTTCAGCTACTTCAAAGATATGTATGTGTTTAAATATGCACACGTGTACTATTGAATGATTGTGAACAAGCAACTTTCACCCATTTTACAGATGGGAAAACCAAGGAATGCTTTACTTTCTGATGGTTATAAAATTAATTGCTTACTAAGCAATATTTGTTGTCATAAAATATTTAGCTTACAAAGGTCAATTTTACCACTAGAGTTTTAGCCATTGAAGGACATGGACCTTTTTTGTAGCATGAATGTATGAAGTTGATGCAAAAGTAATTATGGCAAAGACCACAATTACTTTTGCACCAACCTAATAAAAAAACTAGATGTTAAATAAATCTATGCTTCAGGCCCTAGACTGGTCACTGGAAATTCACCTCAGCTTCACAAATATCCACAGTTTCTAGCCTCAGAAAACTTACAGTTTGGTGCCTTATTGTAGTTTCTGGAATATTTAGAACCCACATGTGAAGTAAAATGACAGTTGAGTTTAAGTACCATAAAACTGTGAGGGATTGTTATTCCTGGATTAACTGAAGTGCCCAATATGGCTCTTCCTATGATCTTACATAAGACAAACAGAGGAACACTTGGATGTCAGCCCTGTCCACACGGCAAGGTAGGCTCCTGGGACACAAACATGGGCTGGTGATAAATGACTGTGCCTGGGCCTGAAGGGAACTGGCTGGGAGTTGGGGGTGTGGAAGTGGGAGGCAGGACCAGTATAGGCCTGTTTGTTTTCTTTTCTTCCTTTATTAATGATCTTTATTCAAATGATAGATTTGAATAAACTGTGTAGCAATCAAATTTGCAGATGGTACAACATAGGGATCAATCTGAAAGCATCTGAACCAATACAACTGGAAGCTGGAAGCTCAGGGAATATGAGATAATTAGAAAACAGTGGTGTTAAGACAGACCTGAGGGTGTTAAAATGTGATGTCCAATTAAGCTGGAGAGAGAAATGCCAAAGGGTAGAAAAATGCCCAGAAGCAACTTGAATTCAAAGCGAAAGCACTGGACCCTTTAGTCTGTGTGAGCTTGGGATTCTGAGTTAAATTCTGTTTCAGAAAGAACAGCTTCATGTCTTATTCTTACATTCTGAAATATCTGCATTAACTGGACAAGGAAAGTAACTTATATTCTTTGGAAGAAAAAATACACCACAAATACAGTGATTAGGCTTAAGTGTCCTTGATGATACAAAGTTGGGGATCACTGACTTCATCTTTTAAGAGATAAGTGGTCTATAGTTTTATTAACAAAAGAAAGGTATACTTGACAGTGAGCTCTGATTAGTATAATTTATCACTGTTTTGCACAGAGATGATATTATTCTAGCCCAGAGCAAACACATTTAATGTGCTTGTTAATTTGTGTGACCAAATTGAAATGAATATTTAATTTCTGATGGAAAGGTGAAATATTTTAATTACCTGAATCCCCTCAAAGCAGCTGCAAACACAAATATTTTAATTACCTGAATCCCCTCAAAGCAGTTGCAAACACCCCCTAGGCATTCAGAAAAGTGGTTAAGAGTTGTCTAGATTCAGATATCCCAAGTTTTGAATCCAGTCAGTGCCACTAACCAGTTTATTTACCTTTGGTAGATAATTTTGAGATTAATATCTCATCTATAAAATGATGTTTAATTATCTCAAAAATTTTTGCAACTATTCTGAGGACATTCAGAGTATGTGACGTCAAAATGCATCACTGTGGCATAAAGATTATTTTAAGGTGAAGGCAATTGAGAAAAAGCAGACACAGGATGAGCTCTCTGCTCTCCACCCATCTGCCTGAAAGCAGAACATTTCTTCCTTTTGTGAAGGTGACCCCCTACTTCCCATACCAGGAAGGGAATAACAACCTTGTCACAAGTGACAGGATGTCACCAAAAGAGTCTCCAAAAGCCAACATAACTATTCTTATCTACCATTAGTTTGCTCAAACATTTGCCTTTTCACAATTTACTGCTCCTTGAAGCTCAGCATTTTTTCTTTTGATAGTTGCAGGAGACAGACAAATTCCTACGCAAACAGAAATGGGTGCTCGGTAAAACCCGACCTTCAAGCAAAAGACAGCCTAAAGCCTGAAAACCAGTGGCCAATTCTGGGTGGAGTTCACTATTGGAGTAAGAACTTTCTCTATGCCTTTTAGCCAATCGAATGGTGTTTTTTCAAAGCCTACTCGTGGACCAATCAGCATGCACTCCCCCATTCTAAGCCTATAAAATCCCCCGGACTCAGCCTCACAGATGACTACCCGCTTTCGGACTCCCTCTCAGAGGGCTACCCACTTTGGGCCCCCTCTCATTGTTGAGAGCTTTTCTGTGGCTCAATAAAATTCTTCTCTGCCTTGCTCACTCTCCTGATTTCTCTTGATCGTGGGACGAGAACCCAGAGCCTGCCAAACAGTGGCTGCTGCGAAAAGAGCTGTAACGTGTGCTCCTGCTTCCTGAGCTACAGGAGTGAAAAAAACTGCTGGACGCCACACACCCCGATTTGCTGAGCTGCCAGCGCGGGACCAAACGAGTTGCGACACACCCCCATTTGCCGAAGCTGCAGGTGGCAGGAACAAACGACAGCTGTTAACACTTCCTGGGGGGCTCAGACCTTGGGACTCCCCAGGCAAAAGCTAGAACACCCCTTGGGGCTCCACAGTTGTTGGCATCTCCAAGTTTTCAGGTACGGCTACATTCCCCTTGTCCAGATGCTGACACCCAAGGCGGAAGCCAGTCATGGCAGGCTGCAGGACCTGCTGCAGGCTGAGCACAGAGCCACAGTGGGTGCAGAATCCAGGCCATAGTACGAGCAGAGCACAGCCTGTCAGGCCCAGCGGGCAGAGCAAGCCCCATGGGTGGGAGTGAAGCACAGGCAGAGGCACTGCCAGCGGTAGAGATTTCCAGATGGCAAAGTGGCACCAAAAGAATCCTATGTCATTTCTTCTTGTCACTTCTCTACAAAATTATTGCTCTTTGGTGAAGATGCTCTATGGGCCCAAGCTTGAGCCATGCCTGTGAGTTGTACTCCTCACTGGGTGCTTCTATGTGTGTATGATGCCTGCGTTCAAGAACTTCTGCTTGTTTTTCTCTTGTGAATCTGTCTTTTGTCAGTCTCATGTACAGGGCTTCAGCCAATAAACTTAAGATGGGTAGCGGAAAATGTGTTTTTCCTCCTCTACAGTTCTTTGAGATAATATATAATGCTCTTAGCAGAGGATCTAACAAAAAGTAAGTTTTTCTTAGCCGGGCATGGTGGCGGGCGCCTGTAGTCCCAGCTACTCAGGAGGCTGAGGCAGAAGAATGGCCTGAACCTGGGAGGTGGGGCTTGCAGTGAGCCGAGATCGCACCACTGCACTCCAGCCTGGGCAACAGAGCAAGACTCCGTCTCAAAAAAAAAAAAAAAAAAAGTAAGTTTTTCATTAGCTATCATGTTATGGCTATTGCGATTGAAATTCTAGGAACTCTATAATTAGAATCATGTTGTTAATTCATTGTAAATATCATATTGTAAATACCTTGGTATCCAAAAGTACACTCTTAATTAATCTCTGCTAATAATAGCTCTATGCACATAATACATGTGCATGTATTTTACATATATAGAGAGAAAGACAGTGCACTCTATATTCTACTTCATGCTCCATTCTTTCTCTATTTCTGTATATATCTATTTTCACATTGGCCATGAGAATTCAGGTCCTATGCTGTCCTCATTTTGACACTTTTATGATTAAGGTCTTTAGGTGAAATAATGATTACTCTACAAGCTAACTAATATTCCTAGAATTTAAGGACATAACTATTAACCATTTTGGTTCAGACAACTGAGATGTCAAACTAATTCAGTTATTTTTAATAAGTATAAGAAAATAGCACATGCTTATTTGATGATTTTTTATAATCTAAAAATACATTATTGGCCTTAAATATGCATACTGTTCTAATTTTACACATGTGGACACAAATTCCATTTGAAAGAAATAATTATGAATATGATATTAGTTTACAGAGATATTCAGCTTGAATTACTTAAAATAACAGGTGCAAAAAAAATTGAAGACAAGTATTTCCCAAATTCATTCTTTTAGATTAATAAATTATCGTAGAGTCACTCAATGGAATTCTATGCACCCATTGAAATAATAAGAGGAAGATTATTATTTCACAGATAATGAAAAAGCAATACACTATTAACTGAGGGAAGAAGATATACATTTATATAGGTACTATGATTACAGTGAGAAACAGACTTATATAGAGGGAAGAAAAAGACAGGAAGATAGGAAGAAATTTAACAACATGGTGACAGAATTATTTTAGAAGAGTAGAATTAATAATGCATATAATTGTATGTTTTTTTTCTAAAAATTTTCAAATTTTTATGCAAGTTGGCTATGTTATATGGCAAACATGTACACTGAATCTTCACCTCTACCAATAGGGATTTAATTAAATATAACTTCCTGTAAAACCTGGTTCCTCCTGGATTTAACCTCAGTATTTCCCACTATAAATTTGCTGTAAAGTGTCATCTTATTAATATTATTTTATTCATTTTCTAACACACTCTTGCTAAGCATGTCATGGTTTTAGTAATTTTTCTGAAACTACGGGCAAGTTGACAGAATACTAGAAGACTGTATCAGGAAACAGTTACATGGATGACAGAAGATGATGTTTTCTATAAGTTTGATGTTTGTGCTCTATCTTACATTCCTGGTGCAACTAACAAAATCCTTCCACTACCTCAAGAAACTAATGATATAATTTTGGTGACACACACACATGCTTTGGAGGTCTCATCTTAAGGAGGCTTATAAAATTATCCCTTCTAAATATAAGATCACTCTCCAAAAGGTCAATTCTTTTGTAACCATCACTTTTAGAAAACAAATTTTTTCTATTCAGATATAGAAATTGGGTTCTATTCAAGTATAGACATTTTCTTTAGTTTCAGAAAGCATGCAGAATGCTTCAACTAGCATTGGGAAGTTTTATGACAGTATACACCTTATTAAAACAAAGACAAATAAAAGAAATAGGAGGCCTGGCTTTCTTTCATTAGAAAAAAAAAGAGTGTAAAATTAGCAGAATATGTGTCAATTTATTATGAGTCTGAAAGGTAAAAGAATGAAGACCTTGTCTTCTAATGCACTTTTAAGGCCTGGATGTGATTGAAGTAATATGAGGCTAATCAGCTAACAGCAGTTCAGGCTATTTTCCTTCACTAATACTTTCCAAATATTTATGATTATACCATATCATACTAGAGAGGAGAAATCCAGGTCTCGGAAAGGGGATGATATTCAAGGAATTGAGACCATCACAAGGACATGTATATGTATGTATTTCTCAACTCATGGGCTTTATGAAATATTTAACCCCTAAAAAAAGTAGAAAAAAGTAGACCTCTTCAGAAAAAAAAGATTATTTCAGTTGTTAAAGATTTCAGTTTTCTCTGGAAAAATTAACAGGAGTCTAGGATAACTTACTGTTTCAACAGCTTTGTTGAGAGCTTTTCTGTCGCTCAATACAATTCTTCTCTGCCTTGCTCACTCTCCTGATTTCTCATGGTCATGGGACAAGAACCCAGAACCTGCCAAACAGTGACTCTGTGCTGAAATAGGAGCCTCCCTCTTTTCAGAGACCAAAGTGGGCAGGATTATTTAGGAATCTTATTTACAGGATGAGGAATAAGCCAGTGTCAATTTCATGTCATTGGGACTGAAGAGGTGTTGTGTCTGGGGTAAATACCTAAGGTTTGTCGTCTCACACAAAGGAAATCAAGGATGCAGACAGAATAAGTGGGTTTAGGAGCAGAGGTTTAATCAGCAAAAAAAGAGAAAGGAGAACAGCTCTCACTCCTCTGAGAGTGAGGGGCTCTGGAGTGGGACTTCTGGACCATAGCAGAGCACACAGGGTTTTATAGATAGGCTTGAGGAGGCAGTATCTGATTTATATAGGGCCCAAAGATTGGTTGGACCAGGTGTGAGGTTATCATAGCACATAAGGAAGCAGGCCACTTCACCCTAATCTTTTATTATGCAAATGGAGTCTCTACTTGGCTGGCACATGTTGCCTGTTCCTTACTGTACCCATGGTTGACAAGGAAAGGGGAAGGGAAGATGGAGCCCCCATGTTGGACATGTCTAGCCCCCAGGTAGCCTTTTCCTATTGGCACAGCTGCCGGCATTCACCTGTGCAAGCTTCCAGCTTGCTCATATGTGTCTGCAGCTTGATTTTACAGGCTGTTTTTTATTAGAAAAGAAAATTATTTGGGGGCTGCTTTTCATTAAAAGGAAAACCTCACTAGCTGCCTAAATAATTTCTTCTTAACTCCTATATCAGGACCATGAAATGTGCTTCTACTGGCAGGAATTTAAGTTGAGATCCAGAGGTCCTCAGTACAGAGATGTCCCATAAGTCATCCCCAAACTTAATTTTAGACTTTTAATGAAACTACAAATGTACTTGGATCTGTGTCTGTATCTTTTTTTTTTAACTATTGTGACAAAATCCCTATATTCTGATACCCTAGCTTATAGAAATTCTTGATACCTGTTAAGTAATGTTTCCTTTTATTCTTTTAAAGTGTCTTGGCTATTGTCAATGAAATAGGTCAAACTCTAAAATGTTTGAATAGATATATTCTTAGCCAAATATGTGTCACCATTGTCTGTGACATAGCTCCAGGAAATCTTGAGAACATGTGCCCAAGGTGGTCAGGCTAACAGATTGGTTTTATGTATTTTAGAGAGACATAAGATATCAATCAATACATGTAAGATTTACATTGGTTTCAGTCGAGAAAGGTGGGACAATTCAGAGTGGGGGTTGTCAGGGGCCTCTAGATTCTATGTGAATTCAAAGAATCTCTGATTGGTAATTGGTTAAAAGAGTTTATCGAAAGATTGGAATCAAGAGAAGGGAGTGTCTGGGTTAAGATAATGAGTTGTGGAGACCAAGGTTCTCATTATACAGATAAAGTCTCCAGGTAGCAGGCTTCGGAGAGACTAGATTGTTCATGTTTCTTATCAGATTTAAAGAGTCTGTTCTATCAGTTTTTAGGTCTCTTTTTCAATGTAAATGCTGGTTAGCTGTGCCTCATTTCCAAAAGGAGTAGGGTTTAATGAGGTATGTCTGAGCATCCATTCCCATAATGTCCTGAACTGGTGTTTCATGTTTATTTTAGGATGCCTTTGGCCAAAGAAGAGGGGTCCATTCAGTTGGTTGGGGGGCTTAGAAATTTATTTTTAGTTTACACTATTGTTTGTCATCTGAAACCATCTGTCAATTTCTACATAAAGACCTGTTTTAAAGTACTGATTGGCATTACAATCAAGTGTCTAGAATAGTTTGGGGAGTATCACTGCATATATGACACAAAGTCTTCCCATCCATAGACATGGTATATTTTTTCGTATATTTTGTGTTCTTTATGACTTATGAAAAGAGTTATAATATCGTACAAAATATCTAACTGTCTCTTGTAGGTTGATTCCCTACATTCATTATTTCTTTTGCTGACACTTTAAATAATATCTTTTAAAATTATATTTTTGTTACTAAATAAAAGATTCAAATGATTGTTTTATGTTGATGTATCCAGCAATCTTTCTGAACTAGCTCAATAATACAGCAATGTTTCTGATCTAGGTCAATAATTTAGGATCAGGTTGCTACAACTACCTCTATACTACTATAGAGATCAATAATTTAGGACCAGATTGCTACAACTACCTCTTTATAGTAGTATAAATATAGTAAATTATTTCTTTTTAAAAGTCTCATCAAATGATAAATAATTTTTAAGGCAAAGAGAACCAAATGGGCTATAGAAACCTGTGTGTGTGTGTGTGTGTGTGTGTGTGTGTAAAGTTTAATTTGTTCTTTCCAGTTCTTAAATTATGTTCCTTTGTCTTATTTTTAAATTGATGCCTATGACTTCCAGTAGAGCATTGTACAGAAGCAGTGAAGTGGCATCTTTTATTTGTTACAAATATTAAAGAAAATATTTCTAATCATTCGACAAAAATTTATTCTATAGATTTATCAGGTTAAAGATATGCTTTTCTATTCCTAAAATCATAACCACATCTTTAAATTAATCAAATATTATTTCTAAATCTATTGATTACATTTCCCATCAATAGGTCAGTATGGTGAATCACACTAGTATTCTAACTGAATTAAGTCATGTATATTTTTTAGAATAAACACTACTTAATCATAATATATTAGGATGTTTCAGTCAATAATCAATAGATTTGGTTTGATACTTTAAAGAAAATTTTGTGTCTATATTTCTAAGGGATTATATAATTTTTCTTGCTTCAACTATCTTTCACTTAGTTGGGGTATTAAGATGATGTTGATTTATATTACCTTGTCATAAATGTTAAATGTTGTTACCATAAAATTGATACCTACTAGGCACTCAACAGTTGCCCTTATGATTTTCTTTTGTCTTGATTTTCTTTAAAAAAAAAAAAAAAGGAGGCTAGCAAAACCTACTGCTCAGGCCGTTTGTTAGGCTTAAATAAAATAGGATCTGTAAAGTGCCTAAGGCAGTGTTTGGCACATTAGAGGACTCATTAAATGCTAGCTCACTTGCCCTTTCCCCTTGGCTGTATGTTTTTGAAACAGGGCAGAAAAGCAGGCACGATGGAATGCTCTTTTTGTGAAGCCAGCTTAAAATAGTCATCAACACTGAAGTCAGTGAATGTGTTTGGTTTCCATTCAAAATGTTACTTTCAGAAATACACACAGGGTTCATTTGCATAATCACTCTCCAGGCTAGGAACCTGTCCCTGAGGGGTTATCATTATTTAAATCTAAGTTAGGTTATTATCGTTCTTCATGCTGAGCTGCTTGGCTTTTCTTCCTTCCCTTTCCCTTGACTGCTGCAGCTGCATCGCTCTGAATGGGAGCTTGACCGGTGGCTCCGCTATGGAGAGATTTAGGGCAAAAGGCAGCGTGTCTAAGTGGAAAACGCCATGGGCTCTGGAGTAGCAGATGAGGTTCAAATCCCAGCTCTGCTTCTCACTAACGGTGGTACCTTGGCAGCACGACTTCACCACTTCTCTAAGCCACAGCTCCCTGTGCTCTGAATGGGAGTTCAGTTGTTGAGAAGCGTAACTGGTGTTTTACAGATTACATACACCATTTTAACTAAAATATACCCTTTAATGATGTTAGTCCTCTTCTCTGCCTCTTTCTGTCCATATGGAGGAGTTAACACATCTCAGAAAAGAAACAAAGACATATCAAAGGAAAGAGAATTGGCAGTGGGGAAAAGGTAATCAGAGAAGTTCACTTAAATAGCAAAAACTTCTTACCTGTGAGAATCATTTTTTGGGGAAAAGAATAAACATGAAAGTCCAAAGTCAAGGGACACGGCAGAGGAGAATATGAAATTTCATACTGGGTATTGCATCAAGGAAGATATAATAAGTCTCCATGGAGAGAGAGAGGAAACCACTTGGTTATGGGGAGAATTGGAATGGTGATGCCAATTAGAGACAAGAATGATAAAACATAAATATTTTGTTCCTTTATTAAGTGAGGGCTGTATGATGGAAATAATGAAACTCAGAGGAAAGACATCATCTATGAGTTGTCTTCTGTGCTGTGTTCTTCCAACTAGAGGATGTAGATAATTTAATGCTCACTAGTATACTTTATAGTAGGTAATGCATTGGTGTCTATGTTATGGGTGAACAAACTGAGTTTCAGACACATTAAGTAAGTAATTTGTCCAAGACCACTCAGCTTAATGGTGCCTGAGTTGAATTCTAATTCAAGTCCAGCTAAATTACAAGTATTTCATACTCTTTCCTCTTGGGAATCTAACCATACTGGGTCTTCCACTTTCTAAGATTATAATGGTATGCCAGTATAGTTTATAAAATGTGCTTGTGTGCCAGCAAAGCTTTTTAAAGAAGGATACTTACAGCAAACAGGCAGTGAGGAAAGGTGCTAATGTTGACTGCAGTTTAAACTCAGTGAAGATTGTGGCCACTAAGGAGACTTCTTACAAAAATAATGGAAATCTGTTTTGTTGTAAACAATGACACATTTCTATCATCACACATATTGTTTCTCCCCACAGTCCACAGAAGATTCTAGAGGATCATTTTGTTACCAATTAATATGGTACTGGGCGCCAGAAATAAAATGCATTGTATGTATTGCATGAATAGCACACCTTTAGAGTACAGGAAATATATATTATATAAATATATTATATTATTATATTAATTAATATTATATTAATATATAATATATAAGTATATTTCCTATACTCTAAATATAATATAATAACATATATATATTTCCTGTACTCTAAAGATGTGCTATCCAGTAAGGCCAGTAGCCATGTGAGCTATTTGAAGATACATTAATTAAATAAAATTACACATTCACTTCCTCAGTCTTCTTAGTCACATTTAAAAGTGTACATTAGCCACAAGTAGCTAGTGTTTACTGAACTGAGCAAGGCAGCTGTAGAACGTGTCGATCTTGATAGAACAGTCTGTTGGACAGCCTGTATCATAGGTTCCTAATTCAGACTTGGCTTGGGGTTAAGATACTAAACTTACTGCCACTGATGCTCCCAATACTTCCAGTTGCTTATCAGCAGATTCTAGATTGTTTAGTCATTTAAGTAACCATGTAAGAAAATAATGAAGGATGAGGAGACCAAGGCTCAAAGTAGTAAAGCAATTTACCCAAGGTCACTGAGCTAAGAAACAATGGCCTGGATCCAAATGCAAGCATGTCTGACATCAGAGCCCAGGCTCTCAACATCAGGGTAATCCTCCTCACATCTAAAATACAGTGTGGCACATGGGATAATTGTACTGTGTGCAAGTTAAATAAAAGTAGTATAGAAAGCTAGGATCGCTCAGGGAATTCTTTACCAAATAAGGGATAACCAGAAAAAGTTCTGAACTGTAAATGAGAATAATTTGGGTGAACAAAATGAGGAAGAGAAGCGTAAACAGAGAAAGAAAACAGCAAGATGTTCTGAGTTGCCCTTTCAAGCCAGTGCTATTTTATACTTTTCTTTTTTTAATTGAGACTTTCTAAAATGTATGTCTTGGGCACCTACTGTGTGCTTGGTATTGTGCTACATCTTGTGAATATAACTCAAAGAGGTTGACCAGTTCTCTGAAAGTTCAGAGTCTCTGGAGAGCACATTTTGGAAAGGAAACAATTTGAAATAGCACTAGAGTAGGTTCTATTTTGTATAAAATTCCATTTATTAAATGCCATGGCCATAGAGTCAAATAGAATCAATATTAATGGAACTTGGAATGTCAACAAATCTTACTTTCTGTCCAGAGGAAGAATAGTTTTTTTCTTAGTCCATGATCGCACATTGTCTTGATTGACCTAGTAAAGTTGAATATACCTGTTCAAAGATACTGCATTGGAAAAAAAATATATTTAAAATGCTATTTCTTCCTTACTTTGGGTGCAACTTTTGGGACATGAAAGAACCTTTTCAAATACTTCCCTAACCTTAGAAATGAGAATATTAGTATTTTTGTATAAGTGCTCTTCTGAGTATTTTATGAACTCATGTGTATTATCTGTTTAGCTTAGTGTCATGCCCATAGTATAAACTGAATAAGTTACATCTCTTTCACTTTCACAGGAAAGGAATATATTTAAACTGTTCTAATTATTAAAATTGTCTTTGTACGTGACAAAGGGCATATTTTGTCTTTACAGGATATTTCTTTTTTTTTTCTTTTCTTAGCACAATATCTTGTTCTTCAAAATCCCATGGTATTTCTTAAATTATTATTGTCATTTTATCATTTATCTTGTAATTTTAACATTTCAAACCAATATACAATAGAATGGAACAGCCATATAACAGTACTAAATAATTACCTAAATAATGTTTTGCATAACTCTCTGTGCCCTCTCGGTTGTAGAGTTACCAAGTTATCCATTCACATTTTAGTAGAAAAATAGTAAGCATAGCAAAATTTTGTTTCTCATGCATTTTACATTTTGTATGAAAAAAATAGAAGCACTTTTACAAAAGTAAACTGTCCAGGCCGACTTCCTCAGAAAAGATTCTATTCCCCAAATCCTGTCAGTTTTCTACAGGTTCAGGTTCTGCATGACTCTACATTGAACATTCAAATGAGGTTACACAGTGGCACTGCCGTGGAGGAAACTGCTTAGTTATCTCAATTCTCTCAAGATCTTTCACCTCATCCTTCCTGGTAACCTTAAGCCTGTCCTAATATTTTAAGAACAGAATTATTTCACTGCAGCTCTGAACGTGGAAAAGCTACATGTTTGCTCAAAGGAAACTGTTCATATTCAAAATTAGTGAGTAAAATCTAATGTAATTTCTTTTTTCAAGCCTTAATGTGGTTTCTCTGAAAAGCTACCCCCTAACTGTATATTCCATACTTGGGTTTCATGGCATTAAATTTTTATGAGCTTAATTTTCATCAGTTTCCTAAATTCAAGCAGCAATTTCAGTAATAGTATATGTGCTTCATAAACAACAAGTGCATATGCATAATGTTGTTTAATCGGAAAAACTAAAAAGTTAAATTCTCTGTGATCCTTTTTAAAAGGAATTTTCCTTAGGATGGTAAAATCTTAAGAATTTTATTGCGCCTGATGGTTGTTTTTTTTCTTGTGCTATTCAATGATATTACATTTAGCTTTCAATGACTTCACCAACTCCAAAACTAATTATGTAACCTGAATACATTCCCTGAAATTTACTATTATAATACATTTTCAAATATAGCTTATATTAGAAAATAATGCTAAGTTACAGTTGACTTTATTAATTCTCATCAATGAAAACAATCTGCATAAGTAACTTACATCTTATTCATAAATAGTTTGTATTTTAATATTTCCAGCTTATTTATTCAGTTACTGATGACTGGGGTAACAAAAATAGCATGGCCCCTGTGTGTTGCATCTATTGTTTTCCTAGGAAGTTTCAAATCCTTTTTTACAACAGACATCCGGAATAGCATTGTGAAATAACCCACATGGATTCTGGCTTCAGTTTTCTGCCAGGAAACGTGAGACTGCGTAAGAAAGAATTCTTAATGATTGATCAGCTAAACTTTGCTTTCTTTTCCTTGGTTACATTCTTTCTTCCATTTGGGCTACTAAAGCCATTTCTCATGCAGTAGTTATACCTTGCACTAGGGTGAACAACTGTTCACAGATAATTTATGTGCACAGATAATTTCTATGACGGATTCCTTTGAGGAAAGAGCACATTTTAATCAGAAGAGAGCGGCAGAGAGAGAGAATGCTCATGGGGAATCAACGACCACTTTTACAACAGCCTTAAATGCCTCTGCAAGGTCCTTTTCCCACCAAGCCTTCACAGAGGAATGGCGCTACCATCCGCCCAAGTGGCTCAAATGAGCCTATGTCTACTTTGAATAAACTCTGGTACATCTCCCCCAGAAAAGCACAAAGTACAGTGTGATTACGGATTAAATAATAATGACTACTGCCCTCAGATGTCTCCTGACAAATCTGAGGTATTTAATTGATATGAATTCTCTTTTAGTCCTTTTCCTCTACGTGCAGAATTACTTTATCTTACATCTTATTGAAAGAGCTAGTATCTGAAGCCCATTTAAAAGTAAATAATTCATTCTCACTGAAAAAGTACAAAAATCAACTTTATTAGAGAGAAATGTATGAGACTAAAGAAATCAACTAATCTGACCTGGATTATCTAGTTCTCTGTTTATAGCTAACTTTATCTAGTCATATTAAATGGCATTCCTAACAACAATGTATAGAAATTTTCATGTCAACTAAAGCAAATTTTTTTTTCAAGTAAAAAATAGATACTATGTGATTTCTCTAATGTCAAACTTTAATTGACCAGAGACTATTCTGGAAATGTGAATTCTAGTCCTAAATGAAGGAGGAAAGGAGAGCAGGAGTGAAGGAACAGTGAAGAAATTAAGGGACTTAATTTGAGGACAGCATTTGAGACTTATAAGAATTAAACAGATAATATGTGAACATGTCTGCAAATGTAGGATTATTAGAATATTTTGGAAATACATTTTTAAATTTTAAGCCAGTTTGGATTTATGGTGACATTGTGAAAATAGTGCAGAGAGCTCGATATACTCCACAGCCAGTTTATCCTGTTAATAATGCCTTAAAATAGTATGGTGCATTTAGTTGCCATATCATCACACAGGCTTGTTTGAGTGCTACAGTTTTTCAAACTTTCCTTGTTTTTCATGACCTTGACAGTTTTGAGTAATACTGCTTAGGTATTTTGTAGAAGCCTCCTCCACTGAGAATTTCCTGATGCTTTTCTCATAATTACACTGGAGTATGAGATCTGGGGAGGAACATCACAGAAGCTGTATTTTCACCACATCTTACTGAATGCACATACAGTCAATATGACTACTCACTGTTGATTTTGACCTTGATCACCTGATTTAGATATCATTTGTAAGGCTTTCTGAATGCAACATTGTCTCTATTCCCAACCTTTGATATTGTACTCTTTGAAAGAAAGTCATGATGAGCAGCACACACTGAAAGAGTAGAGTCATGCTTCACCTTCTTGTTGGAGGTACCGACATGAATTACTTGGAATTCTTTTGCAAAGGAGATTGTCTATTTCTTTTTGAGTCAGTTTCGGTAGTATATGTCTTCACAGAGATTTGTCAAATTTAAGTTAGTTGTCTAATTTAGTAGCGTATTCCTTTATAATCCTTTTCATTTGTGTTAGAACAATAGTAACATCACCTAATTTCTCATCCTAGCAATTTGAGCATTGTTTCTCATTTTTTTTCTGTCAATTTAACTAAAGGCTTGTGAATGTTGTCAATCTTAACAAATAATAATCTTTTGAATTCACTCTTTTTTCTCTATTGTTTTTCTATTCTCTATTTCATTAGTTTCTGATTTAACTTTTTAAAAAAATCCTTCCTTTTGCTTGCTTAAGGCTTAAACTTCTCTTATTTTTCTAGTTTCCTAAAGTTGAAGCTTAGGTTATTGAATTTTGGTTCTTTCTCTTTTTTTCCTATAACTGTATATACATTTATGCTATACACTTTCCTCTAAACACTTTTCATTGCCTTGCACAAATTTTGTTAAGTTGTATTTTAATTTTCATTAAATTCAAAATAAGTTTTAAAGTAACTTGAGACACCTTCTTGGCCCCATGCGTTGTTACATAGAAATATGTTGTTTAATCTTCAAATATTCATAGATTGTCCAGCTATCTTTCTATGATCTTTACTTTGCATTGTTAGGTGCATACACATTTAGGATTACTTCATCCTCTCTGAGAACTGATCCCTTTATCACTATGCATGCTCCTCTTTATTCCTTATAATCTTCTTTGTTCCAAAGCCTGCTTTGTCTGAAATTAAAACAGCTATTTGAGTTTTCTTTTGATTTATGTTAGCATGGTATTTTTTCTCCATTCTTTTTGTTTCTAACCTATCTAAGTCTTTATATTAAAGTTAGATTTCACTTTTTTTCTTGTACAGTTGGGTCTTATTTATTTATGTGTAAACTTTTATCCAGTCTGATAATCTCTGTTTTGTAAAACATGCATTTAGAACATTTACATTTAAATTGATGATTGATATAGTTGTAACTGTAGGTGCCAGCATCTTAAATTTCTTTTGATAGAATTGTTTTTGTCTCTATTCTTAAATTTTGGCTTCCCAAATTATTCATCTTCAGGGAGAGTCTGCGTCTTAAAACTCCTTCAATTCTAATGCACCAGACTCTCATTGGTGCGGTGGTAAGGCATGGAGGTGGTGAAACATTCTATGTGTCTTTTAGAGAGCTTGTATCCCTGGCTGTAACCTTTACAAGTGTTTTGTAGTTTCTGCCCCTAACCTGAGTTGGAGAAATGCCTTTCTCCCAGACAGAATGATTGTGGTGAAATCTTTCCCACAGAGCATAGGTTATGGTTATGAAGAACAGTTGGCCATATTTGATTTAGATTACTCTTCTCCATCCTTCCATGATGGGCTCTTTCTTGGTTCCTCAATGCCACAGCCTACTGAGGTCCCTGGTGGTAAGATTCACCAATATGTGGGGGCCTTCCTAAAACCTCAGCTCCTAGGAGCTTCTCACTTTCCTGATAGTCCTTATTCAGTTTCCAGCCATTCTTCAAAATTGACAGTTTAATGTTCTTACCAGTTACGGCTCTAGAATCTTCTGCTCCAGTTAACCAGATCCAATGAATGTCCCTCTCTCTCCAGGCATTAGGGTAACAGTTTGCCATGTGATTTCTGTTCTCCAACACACCCAAGAAAAGCAGTTAAAAAGCAGTTTGTTCAGCTTTTTTTCTCTTAGTATAAGGTTGGGAGTAACAAATTTCAAACCTTTTACATGTTGGAGCTAAAACTAGGAGCTCTCTCACAAGGAAAATTTTTGGAAATGAAATAACTAAGTATCTTAGCTTGTTTTTGACCTGAAACAAAGCCTGAGAAAAGGATTCCTGTTTCAACAGGGTATGCAGATGTTGATTCCAGAAAGTATCATATGTGGTCAGGAACATGAGACAGAGAAAGAACGAAAACCCAAATAAGGTATGTTAATAAACAGATTTGTTATAGGCAAGTGGTTCTTATCCTGTGAGACCCCGTAAACTCCTGCTGAGAACCTGGGAGTCTTACATAAAACCTAGAAGCAAGAAGCTTGGTGGTTACGAACCAACTTTCATTTGTCATTGGTTGGAAAGAGCTCCCAAGCCACTAAATCCTTAGCATTCTAGGATGCTCCCAGTGAAGGTCCTCAGGCAGAAAATAGTAGGTGATCACAGTAAGATGCTGTTGGCCAAGGAAATAAGTGAAGTACTGACAGCATTTGTTATACCAGATTTCTCTTTGCAATGCATGTCAATGCCTATGCTGTACAGTCAGTGCCTGGTAAAGGCAAAAATCTATGGATTGTCTAACTCCAATGTTCTTTTTACTCTCCCTACCAAATAATTTTCTTCATAAGAAATTACAGTATTTCTGCATTTCCACAAAATTTCTTTTTCTTGGTATCTTTCAGAATTTACTAAGTGTTGCAAAAGATATGAGAGCCCTGCTGGTCATATGACCTGACCTTGCAACAAGAAGCTAGAGGGCAGCTACAGGAATCTCTAACTTGCTAGCCATTGATGTTGGGCTGCTCATTCAGAAAGACATCCAGCTTTGAGGATGAAGCTTCCAGGGAAAAGGGATGTTCATTTCTATTTGCTGCTTTGCTGTCTCCCCTGAAGCTGCCCTCCTACCAAATGTACAGTTTAGAAATCATTTACATTTGTTAAGCTTCACTGCCTTTCTATCTAAAGTTATAAAAAGGATTCATCTCATAGTTTCTCCAAGAACTTCCATTAAAAAAAAAAACCTTTCTATTTAATTATCTCAATATGTGTTCTTTTAAATTTCAGACAGTACTCTATGTGTGGAGGAAATGAGTGGAAAGATTTAATATCGGAAATGTCCAGGAAGTCACTGAAGTCCAGAAATTCATTGTCTTTCTTTTATTTTCATCAATTATACTTTCTAAGATGTATGCAAAATCTTTGATGATGTCCATTTTATTCATTCTACATCAATTTTTATTCCAAAGCAAGGCATTTTTTCCTATTAAAAAGCTATACACTGAAAGATTTTCCTTGATCTGCCTTAGTATAAAATAGAGATAGTACAGAATACCCTTATTTTATACTGAAGCTAATGCATGCAAATCAGACTCCAAATCAGATTCTG